>NT_187541.1:0-111943 GCF_000001405.40 Homo sapiens
CAGATATTTACAGAACTGTCTAGCCAACAACTGCAGAATATACATTCTATTCATCATACATGGAGCATTCTCCAAGACAGACCATATGACAGGCCACAAAACAAGTCTTAATAAATTTAAGAAAATCAAAATTATATCAAGTACTCTCTCAGACCACAGTGGAATATAAAATTGGAAATTAACTCTGAAAGGAACCCTGAAAACCATGCAAACACATGGAAATTAAACAACCTGTTCCTGAATGATCGTCGAGTCAAAAGGAAATCAAGATGGAAATTTAAATTTAAAATTCTTTGAACTGAACAATAGTAATGGCACAATATCAAAACCCCTGGGATACAGCAAAGGTGGTGCTAAGAGGGAAGTTCATAGTATTAAATGACTACATCAAAAGGCCTGAAAGAGCACAAATCTAAGGTCACACCTCAAGGAGCTAGAGAAACAAGAACAAAGCAAACTCAAACCCAGCAGAAGAAAAGAAATAATGAAGATCAGAGCAGAACTAAATGAAATTGAAACAAATGAACAAAAATATAAAAGACAAATGAAGCAAAGAGCTGGTTTTATGACCATATGATCATCTCAATAGATGCAGAAAAAGCATTTGACAAAATCCAGCATCGCTTTATGATTAAAACCTTCAGCAAAATTGGCATAGAAGGAACATATGTTAAGGTAATAAAAGCCATTTATGACAAACCCACATCCAATATTACACTGAGCAAGAAAAAAAATGAAAGCATTCCCCTGAGAATTGGAAGAAGACAAGGATGTCCACTTTCACCACTTCTATCTAACATAATACTGGAAATTCTAGCCAGAGCAATCAGACAAGAGAAAGAAATAAAGGGCATCTAAATTGGTAAAAAGGAAGTCAAACTGTCGCTGTTTGTTGATGATCTGACTGTATACCTAGAAAACCCTAAAGACTCATCCAAAAAGCTCCTAGAACTGAGAAATGAATTCAGCAAAGTTTCAGAATACAAATTAATATACACAAATCAGTAGCTCTCCTATACACCAACAGCGACCAAGTTGAGAATCAAATCAAGAACTCAATCACTTTTACAACAGCTGCAAAAAAATAAAATAAAACACTTAGGAATATACCTAACCAATGAGGTGAAAGGCCTCTACAAGGAAAACTACAAAACATTACTGAAAGAAATTATAGACACCACAAACAAATGGAAATACATCCCATGCACATGGATGGGTAGACTCAATATTGGGAAAATGACCATACTGCCAAAAGCAATCTAAAATTCAATTTGTAGACTGAATTGTAATCACCACAACTGCATGGTACTGGTGTAAAAATAGGCACATAGACAAATGGAACAGAATAGAGAACCCAGAAATAAAGCCAAATACTTATCACCAACTGATCTTCGACAAAGCAAACAAAAACAAATTTATGTTTGGGGAAAGAACACCCTATTCAACAAATGGTGCTGGGGTAACTGGCAAGCCACGTGTAGAAGAATGAAACTGGATCCTCATCACTCAAGATGAATCAAAGACTTAAATCTAAGACCAGAAACCATAAACATTCTAGAAGATAACATCAGAAAAACCCTTTTAGACGTCGGCTCAGGCAAAGACTTTATGACCAAGAACCCAAAAGCAAATGCAACAAAAACGAAGCGCTAGTTTGTTGAAAAGATAAATAAAACTGATAGACTATTAGTGAGACTAACTAAGAAAAGAAGAGAGAAGATCCAAATAAACTCAATTAGAAATGAAAACGGAGATATTACAACCGATACCACAGAAATACAAAAGATCATTCAAAGCTACTATGAACACCTTTATACGCATAAACTAGAAAACCTAGAGGAGATTGATACATTCCTGGAAATATACAACCCTCCTAGATTAAGCCAGGAAGAAACAGAAACTCTGAAGAGACCAATAACAAGCAGCGAGATTGAAATAGTAATAATAAAAAAATGCCAACAACAAAAAAGTTCTGGACCAGATGGAGGATAACTGAATTCTATCAGACATTCAAAGAAGAATGGGACTTAATTAAACTAAAAGGTTCTGTACAGCAAAGAAATAATCAGCAGAGTAAACAGACAACCCACAGAGTGGGAGAAAATATCCAGAATCTACAAGGAACTCAAACAAATCAACAAGAATAAAACAAATAATCTCATCAAAAAGTGGGCTAAGGATATGAATAGACAATCTCAAAAAAAGAAATTCAAATGGCCAAAAAACATGAAAAAACAATCAACATCACTAATGATCAAGGAAATGCAAATCAAAACCACAGTGCAATACTACCTTACTGCTACAAGAATGGCCATGATAAAAAATTTAAAAATAATAGATGTTGGCATGGATGTGGTGAAAAGGGAACACTTTTACACTGCTGGTGGGAATGTAAACTAGTATAACTGCTATGAAAAACAGTGTAGAGATTCCTTAAAGAACTAAAAATAGAAATACCATTTGATCCAGCAACCTCATTATTGGGTATCTACCCAGAGGAAAAGAAGTCATTATATGAAAAAGATATTGCACATGCATGTTTATAGCAGCATAATTTGCAATTGCAAAAGTATGGAACCAGCCCAAATGCCCATTAATTAACAAGTGGATAAAGAAATTGTGATATATATATATATGTATACCATGGATTAATGGCCTTCACAGCAACCTGGATGGGTTTGGAGACCATTATTCTAAGTGAAATAACTCAGGAATGGAAAACCAAACATTGTATGTTCTCACTCATAAGTGGGACCTAAGCTATGAGGACACAAAGGCATAAGAACGATACAATGAACCTGGGGGAAAGGGTGGGAGGAAGGTGAGGGATAAAAGACTACACACTGGGTACAGTGTACAGTGCTGGGGTGATGGGCGCACCAAACTTCAGAAATCACCACTAAATAACTTATTTTTGTAACTAAACACCACCTGTTCCCCAAAAACCTATTGAAATAAATAAAATGAAGTATGAAAAAATAATTAATAATAAACAAACACATACATGCATCCCAGTGGTTCTGTATCTCTGGGGAACCCTGACCAATACAAAGGGCATGATGTATGCAACCTACTCTCAAATGTTTCTAAGAAAATTTTACATTAAAAATATGTGGCAAAATGTTAAAAATGGTGAATCTGGTTAAAGGTCTATGAAGTTGTTTATACTATTACTGTAACTCTTCTATATGTTTTAAGTTATTTCAGAATAAAAAGTTGGACATTTAAAGTGGTAGGCCATTTATGTTTCAGCTAACAAAATTCTAGTCAGGGGAAGACCCTGACTGGCATTTTTCATAATAGGCCAGGATTTTTCTTGTTTTGGGTTCTGCTGAAATGAGAACCTAAATCAAGCTTTAGGTTTAGGCAAGTTATTGGGGGTAGGGGGGGTGCATCTCAGGAAGCAGAAATGAGAGAATGGAAGAGTCAAACAGGGAAGAAGCATTATCAGTTGAGCTCTCACTGTAGGTACCTGTGACTCAGTCCTGCTGGAGACCTGTGGTAGCCAGGCTCCAGGATGGCCCCAATGAGCCCGGCCTCCGTACAGTCATACCTTTGTGTAGTGCCTGTTCACTCTGTACCAGGGTTGGTGTGTCTGACCAATGTCACATAGCAGAAGTGATGGTAGGTCACTTACAAGATTAGGTCATAAAAAAGACCATGGCTTTCATTTTGGGCACTGGCCCTCCCTCTGGGGGAAGCGATGTGGTGAGGAGTCTTATGAAGAGGTCTGTGTGGCCAGGTGAAGCCTCCTGTCAACAGTCACTCTGTCAACAGAAGTGGATCCTCCAGACCTAGTCAGGCCTCCAATGACTGTAGCCTTCGTGGACTCATTGATTGTAGCCAGTGAGAGCCATTGAGAGTCTCTGAGCCAAAGCCACCCAGCTAAGCTGCTCTCAGATTCCTGATGCATAGGAATTGTGAAATAAAAAACATTTGTTATTTTAAACCACTGTTTGAAGTAATTTGTTACACAGAAACAGCTAACACAGGACCCTCTGAGGAATCGTGTTGAATATATCTCAGAACTGTTCCTCCAAAGATGGGGAGGCTGAGGCATTTATCCATAAAATCCCATTCCCACCTTTGCTGAGAGTTAGGAACCCTTGGTGTGAACACTGGAGGTGAGATGCCATCAACGTGCTGGAGCTGTTCAACATTGTTGAAATTGAAACTGACCCAATTTTCCCACAGAGCTGATGTTTATGGTTTCTTTGAACAGACATAGAAATTGATCCTCTCAATCTTAAAACTTGAGGAAGTTAACATTTGTCTTACCTGAGTTCCTTTCTCAGGAAACCAACCGTCAGGCCTCCCAAATAGTATCAAGGAGCTGAAACTCACTAGATTACTTCATTTGGACAGTGAGAGATCAGACCCCCTCATCTGTCATGACTGCCTAACTGACCATCTGCTTCCTGTTGACCAACTCCTCTTGTTTACCCTCCCTAATTCCTGTTTTCCCACACATGGTTACATTTCTTCCCTGCTATATAAACCCCTTATCTTAGTAGGTCAGGGAGATGGATTTGAGACTGATCTCCCATCTCTTCAGCCACAGTACCTGATTAAAGCCTTTTTTTCTTTTTAATTATACTTTAAGTTCTGGGATACATGTGCAGAATGTGCAGGTTTGTTACATAGGTATACATGTGCCATGGTGGTTTGCTGCACCCATCAACCCATCATCTACATTAGGTATTTCTCCTAATGCTATCCTTCCCCTAGCCCCCTACCCCCCGACAGGCCCTGGTGTGTGATATTCCCTTCCCTGTGTCCCTGTGTTCTCATTGTTCAACTCCCACTTATGAGTGAGAACATGGGGTGTTTGGTTTTCTGTTCCTGTGTTCGTTTGCTAAGAATGATGGTTTCCAGTTTCATCCATGTCCCTGCAAAGGACATGAACTTATCCTTTTTTATGGCTGCATAGTATTCCATGGTGTATATGTGCCACATTTTCTTAATCCTGTCTATCATTGATGGACATTGGGTTGGTTCCAAGTCTTTGCTATTGTGAATGGTGCTGCAATAAACATACGTGTGCTTGTGTCTTTACAGTGGAATAATTTATAATCCTTTGGGTATATACCCAGTAATGGGATTGCTGGGTCAAATGGTATTTCTGGTTCTAGATCCTTAAGGAATTGCCAAACTGTCTTCCACAATGATTGAACTAATTTACACTCCCACTAACAGTGTAAAAGTGTTCCTATTTCTCCACATCCTCTCCAGCATCTGTTGTTTCTTGACTTAATGATTGCCATTCTAACTGGTGTGAGATGGTATCTCATTGTGGTTTTGATTTGCATTTCTCTAATGACCAGTGATGATGAGATTTTTTTCATATGTTTTTTTGGCTGCATAAATGCCTTCTTTTGAGAGGTGTCTGTTCATATCCTTTGCCCACTTTTTGATGGGGTTTTTTTTCTTGTAAATTTGTTTAAGTTCCTTGTAGATTCTGGATATTAGCCCTTTGTTAGATGGATAGATTGCAAAAATTTTCTACCATTTTGTAGGTTGCCTATCATTCTGATGATAGTTTCTTTTGCTGTGCAGAAGCTCTTTAGTTTAATTAGATCCCATTTGTCAATTTTGGCTTTTGTTGCCATTGCTTTTGTTATTTTAGTCATGAAGTCTTTGCCCATGCCTATGTCCTGAATGCTATTGCCTAGGTTTTCTTCTAGGGTTTTTATGGTTTTAGGTCTTACGTTTAAGTCCGTAATCCATCTTGAGCTAATTTTTGTATAAGGTGTAAGAAAGGGGTCAAGTTTCAGTTTTCTGCATATGAAAGCCTTCTTCTTTAGCAATATTCATCTCAGTGATTGTCTGTCTGTGTTGAGCAGACTGAACCCCTGGTGTTCAGTAAGCAAATCAAAGGTGGGCTATGATTTCAGGAACGTATGAGGAAAGGGGGCACAATAAAGCATCTAAATAGTATCATCTTTAACGTTGCCAAAACAAGATACAGGGTTTAAACAATGTGAAGCTCTCTTGAGGATCTTTTCCCTCTTTATTTACTGTTAGTTTCTTAGTCTTCAAAGTTTATCTCATAGAAATAGTAATCCAAGCAGAACTGGAACTGTTTTAAAAACTCCAAAATGCATCATTCACAGATTGCCATTGTTAAAATTGTCTGCCATTTTATATGCTATAAAAATACACACACGTTTTTATTGAAATCATAATCATAGTTTATAGCCTGCTTTTGTCACTAACAAATATATGGAAAACAATGTCCAATGTCAAGTGATACCATTTTAATAAGTAAATCCTGAACACATCATCCAATGAAAAACAACAATCTAACTTATCAGGCTTCATTGTGTTTTCCAGTGTGAGGAAGTTACCAGATGGAGCTTTGAGCAAATGAAGGGTATGATGTCATTTATTTAAGTGACACAAAATAAATCCTGTGCCATGACCTCTATAGAGGCACTTCTAAGAGCGTATTGAAATCACTTTCCAATTATATTTTTCAATCTAAGTTTTCTTGTTAAAAATAAAAATGAGGCCAGGCATGGTGGCTCACGCCTGTAATCCTAGCACTTTGGGAGGCTGAAGCGGGTGGACTGCCTGAGTTCAGGAGTTCAAGACCAGCCTGGGCAACATGGTGAAATCCCATCTCAACTAAAATACAAAAAATTAGCTGGCATGGCAGCATGTACCTGTAATCCTAGCTACTTGGGAGGCTGAGGCAAGAGAATTGCTAGACCCTGGGAGGCGGAGGTTGCAGTGAGTGGAGATCACGCCACTGCACTCCAGCCTCGGTGACTGAGCAAGACTCTGTCTCTAAAAAAAATAAATTAAATTAAATAAATAAATATATATGAGTTGAGCCAGTGGTTCTACTTCCCTTTGTCAGGTGGGGTGCCAAGAACTTGGCCTGGTACTCATTCCACACTTGCTGCTTGACCAGGTGCTTACTGATGGCCTCCCCTATGGGGTAGGCACACACCAGCTCTAAAGCCCTTCTCCTGAATCCAGTGCTGGCTTCTGCTAGAAACAACTTCTTGGGAATGAAAATGCATTTCGTTCCTTCACTAATCTAGAAGAGAGAATAAACATTTTGATATTTATTTTGAGAGATTTTTAGTTGCTTAATGCATAAAGGTAATGTAGGTCAAACATGGATTTGAGAGTTCATATGTCTCATTAGGCCCACCCCAGTGCCTAATGAATCAACATGGATGTGATGTATATAAGAGGAGTGGCAGACTAGTCTACCCAATCTGGGAACCAGGATGGCAACTGTGAAGTCATTTGGGTCCATTATGTCCTAACATCCCTCCTAACAAATAAAACATTCTGCATAAAGACTATAAAAGGATTAGTCTAGAAAATATGAGCCCTAATGGGGACAAATGATACACAGTTAAACTATAAGATAGTATAAGATAGGTAGTTATTTAACAATTGGCAGGTAACCTGGAATATGGTTCTGATGTTAACTGTTAATTCTCTGTCAGTAGGCCATAGTGTTCTCGTCTCTGTTCTAGTCCTCGTCTAGATCTTTCTCTTCTTCTGTTGGGCCAGGTTTTATTCCTCTGACCTCTATTGTACATTTCTATGTTGTAGATGGATCTGTATGAGCCAGGGACACATTTATGAAAGAGAAACTGATCACTCTGTCGTATTAGACTTCATTCTCTCTTCAACTCAAAATATCTGTCTCCCCCAAGGTTCAGCAAGGTATTTTTTTGGTTTTTCAATTTGTGTTCTTTTTAAATTGCTATTTTCCAATGCCAGTGTATCAGATGTTAGGATCCTGGTTCTTTAAAATACCTTCTATACCAGTGCGAGAGTAAATTAGAATCCTGTAAGATTTTAAAAGAGGAAGAGAACATATTCTTGGTTGGATATTCCCTGGGATGCAGTCTCTTATTATTTAAATGGCTTTTCTTGTAGAGCTGTTTCTCTGTTCTAGTAACAATGCTTCCATTGTAACTGCCTGCTCTGGAGAACAGAGATTGGCCCCATAGTGGACTCTGTAGGCTAACTCTGCACAGGTTCTATAGGTACAGGGAAGGCTCTGGCTATGTAAGTTTCAAAACTTCTTTGAATACTCAACTTTATATTGCTTGAAAACTTTGTGAATCTCAAAAAGTGAGGAAAATTAGGAAAATCTGAAAAGTTTCAGTTAACATGGGATAAATCCTGAATATACATGACGTGGAAAATGGCAGATGAAAACTGGTATTTATTCTTGAAAAAAAAAAAACCTACCAATAGACCAAAAAAATTCCAAGGTAGGCCGGGTGTGGTGGTTAACACCTGTAATCCCAGCACTTTCAGAGGCTGAGGTGGGTGGATCACTTGAGGTCAGGAGTTTGAGACCGGCCTAGCCAACGTGGTGAGACCCCATTTCTACTAAAAATACAAAAATTAGTTGGGCATGGTGGTGTGTGCCTGTAGTCCTAGCTACTCAGGAGGCTGAGCCAGGAGAATCGCTTGAACCCAGGAGGCAGAGTGTGCAGTGAGCCGAGATCACGCCACTGCACTCCAGCCTGGGTGACAGAGCAAGACCCTGTCACAAACAAACAAACAAATCCAAGGCAATTTAAATATTTTAAATTCCATTTTAAAAATGTTTCAATATTTCTGAACCCAAAGTTTTTTGATTTCCATAAATCTCTTTGGATTTCTACGTTGTAGGATGCTGCTAGGAACGTTGTGTCCTGTCTGTGAGCTCCTATGTGCTGAGCAAATGAACATAGCATGTGACTTTTGGAAGAATGATTCAGAGACCACTTTGGAAAAAAGATGTGCTTTTACCAGACACAAATGAAGATCACATGATTTGTCCAGTGTTTCCTCCAAGCCCTCAAATTGTAAGAGAACCCAAGTCACTAAACGTCAAAGGTAACTTTTTATTAATTAAGCAAGAGACCAGAAAAATAAAATCAGCAGCAGATTTTTAATTAATTCTACTGTAACAATGAACCTACACATGGTCTTTTAGGAGTCAAATAAAATAGGAATGTAAACTATGTATTCTAAAATCCATGTAAAGTTCAGAATCAGATATTCAGAAGGAATGAGCCACACTACCAATTAAAATATCTGTTAAAAATTCAAGGCAGATAATCTATTTTTGTTTTGAGTCTTAAAAAATTTATCATAATGGCAAAAATGAATGATTGTTACTTTTGGGGACAGCCAGACTTGAGCTAGGACTTGCAGGACAGAAAAAGTCTTGCTCAGGAGGGCAGATGATCTAAATTAATTTCCATTTTCTTTTTTTTTTTTTTTTTTGAGATGGAATGCTGCTGTGTTGCCCAGACTGGAGTGCAGTTGTGTGATCTCGGCTCACTGCAAACTTCACCTTCTGAGTTCAAGTGATTCTCCTGCCACAGCCTCCCAAGTAACTGGGACTACAGGTGCCCGCCATCACACCTGGCTAACTTGTATTTTTAGTAGAGATGGTGTTTCGCCATGTTGGTCAGGCTGGTCTCGAACTCCTGATCTCAGGTGATCCACTCGCCTCACAGCCCCTCAAAGTGCTGGGATTACAGGCATGAGTCATCGCACCTGGCCTAATTTCCATTTTCTTAGTAACCAATATGCATGAGTCTTATTTTCTACCTCACACATGAGTCTCATTTCTTAACTCATGAGACAAATCTTTATACATTTTTCTTAAGTTATAGAGCCCAGAACTGGACAGTTTATTGGTAAACATCTGTTCAGCATTGAGCTTTCATTTCCATACAGGAAGGCGAACACCTAAATTAAGCAGAAACTTACAAACCAGTTTGAGGAGCCAGCACCCAGAAGCTAGGTGCCCCCATTATCTTTGAATCAAATGTTTGTGGAGGGAAAAATAGAATGTTTCAAAGTACTCACGTATGTGATTACATAACAAACAGTTTGGCTACTGTAAATAAAATATTTTGGTCTTTTTCAACAACTTAAAACTTATTTTAAGAATATTTTTTTCTGAGCAAATGTAGGTTCCACCAAAAATAAAATTTTATAATAATCATCCCCTTTTAACATAAAATATCCCAGTTTTCTAATAATTTTTTTTCTGAGACAGGATCTCACTCTGTTGCCCAGGCTGGATTGCAGTGGCGTGACCTCAGTTCACTGCAGCCTCGACCTCCCTGGCTCAAGGGATCTCCCTACCTCAGCCTCCTTAGTAGCTGGTACTACAGGTGTCCACCACCACATCCGTTTAATTTTTATATTTTTTGTAGAGATGAGTTTTCACCATGTTGCCCAGGCTGGTCTCAAACTCCTGGCCTCATGTGATCCACCTGCCTCAGCCTCCCAAAGTGCTGGGATTACAGGCGTGAGCCACTGCAACCAGCTGGTAATTTATAGATATATATCTGAGTTTGTTGTTTTATACTACCTGTGCCTATGATGGACCTTGTTCTTACTTAAGTTTTTGCATATAGTCCAGCTTTTTTCCATTTTCTTGCCTTTTGTCTCTATGAGAAAATGCTGATATTATTATAAGAGTAGAAATTTTGGAATCAGAGCCTAGTACTGAAACTTGCTATGTAAGGGACATTAGACCCAATCCTTTATTTTAGGAAGCCCAGTTGGTTTTTTATTTTTTATTTTAATTTGTAAAGTGAGGATAAAATAACTTATAGGTTCATTGTAGGATCAAATGAGTGAACATATATAAAACTCGTAGCGTAGTTTCCCCATATTAGCTACTCAATAAGTGAGAGGCTCTCCTTTTGTATGAGGTAGCCTAGACATCCTCGATCTAAAAATTAATAGTTGTCTAGGCTGTGAGAGCATACGCAAATATCTGTTTTAAAATAATTATTTTTAAGGCTGGGCATGGTGTTTCACACCTGTAATCCCAGCACTTTGGGAGGCTGAGGCAGGTGAATCACTTGAGGTAAGGAGTTTGAGACCAGCCTGGCCAACATGGCAAACCCTGTCTCTACTAAAAATACAAAAATTAGCCAGGCGTGGTGGCAGGTGCCTGTAGTGTTCAGCCTGTAGAGGCTGAGGCAGGAGAACTGCATGAGTGCTTGAGTCTGGGAAGCAGAGGTTGCAGTGAGCCGAGATCACGCCACTGCACTCCAGCCTGGGTGACAGAGCAAGACTCCCTCTCAAAAACAAACAAACAAACAAACAAATAAATAAATAAATAAAATAATTTTTTTTAATTACATATATGCAAACTAAGAATTAAATATAACATAGATTAGACTTCTAATAGGAGGCTCTGAGAAGACTGTAACGTAATTTCAAGTCTCATTTCTCCAGAGCTCTTCAAGAATGGAGTCAGTCTAAAGGCCAGATAATATGAAACTAAATGAGCTTTGTTTCTGATTCTCTGCCTGAGCCCCATCCATAGCCTGGTAACACATGCAAAGCCCATAATGAATCTTCTTACTTCCTTGGTGACCACTTGGTCTAGGAAAAGTTCCAGGAAAAGGCATTCCTTCAGCTGAGGTTTATAGTGAATAGTAACCCATAAAAGTGACTGAAAAGTAGTCTATAAATATATATGCCTGATAAAAGTGATTAGCAATCAGGAAATACTTATTTATAATGTGTGAGACTATGGGAAAGACGAATGAGATGTGTTCTTTGCCTTCAAGAAACCTCAGTCTGCTTTGGAAGATAAGATTTGCTTTTTGCATTGATCTAATTGCTTTCTGAAAAATGCAAGGACTTTTTAAAAAATGAGCTAAATTTATGTGAGGAAGAAATTATTGTTTTCCATTCTCAATATGTACCAGGCACTGAACACATATTATCTCACTTAATGCTCTTGCCAATTCTGTGAAGTGGATATAATTATTCTCATTTTTTAGATGAGAAAACTGAGGGTCATACAGGTTAGGTGACTTGGGTAAGGTCCATAGGAGTGGCATTTCCAAGAAGGCAATGCAGACCAATGTCTCTGGATCCAATGTCCACACTATTTTCACTACCTCTTATGGTAGCAGGGAGAATGGAAGGGAAGAAATAATTGTGAAATACACTTTGAAGAAATAAATTATAAATTTTAAAATTTATAGAATTTAAAAAGTTTTTTTAAATTATAAAATTTATAATTTTTATAATTTCTTGAATAGGGATGTTTTAATATCAATACTTTATTAACAAAATTATATGAAGCCTTGGCTGAATTTTAATGAAAGCTTTCATAAATGAGACAAGGTGGGAGCATCAGGAAATGAAATAATTAAGTGTGTTGAGGGAATCAGATTAGTTTTATCCTCCTATTTTAAAAGACTTAGCTTAATAATTTTAATAAGTATACTATTGTGCTTTTATGCAATGTATTTTTACTGTTGGCGTTTTAAATTTAGAAGGCAGCATTGTGAAAAGGAAAAAGCGTTAGGTTAGAAGATCTGGGTTTGAGTTTTAGCTCCCAAATTACTATCGTGTGTTTGATTGTGGGAGGCTCACATAATCTACTTTAATCTTGTAGGAATATTATTACAGATTCTACCTGATCCAGCCATCCATCCATCCACTTATGCAATTATTTATTCAATATGCATTTATTGAGCATCTACTAAGTGCCGATCACTTTCACTTGAGACATCTTAGAGTTAAACTAGATTCAGATTCTGCCCTGGAGGAGACCAGTATAGAAAGAGAGACAGACATGAATATAAAACAAGGCAGTGTAAAACATCATAGGTGACATAAAGAAAACCTGTCCTGATCACAGTGGACAGAAAGAAGAGGTCACTTCTTGGTGACTATGTTGCCCAGGCTGGTCTCAAACTCTTGGCCTCAGAGATCCTCCTGCTTTAACCTCCCAAAGTGCCAGGATTACAGATGTAACCCACTGCACCTTGCCAAGAGTTAGTTTTTAAATCATTGACAGTATGAAGGGTTTCTTTTCTTTTCTTTTCTTTTGGTGGGGAGATAGTGGCTTACAGTAAAAAAAAAAAAATTATACACTATATCTCAACTAGAAACTAAATGAAACCAAACTAGTATGCACTTTTGAGACATTAAGATGAAATCAAAAACTAACACCAATCATACTTCCAAACTCATTTATCATATCAAAGCCAGAGAAGGACACTATAAGAAAATAAAAATTACAGGCCAATATCCCTGATAAACATAGATGAAAAAGTCCTCAACAAAATACTAGCAAGCCAAATTCAACAGCACATCAAAGGATAATTCATCAAAAGGATAATTCATCGAGATCAAGTAGGATTAACCCTGGGATGCAAAGAAGGTTCAACATAGGTAAATTAAATATATGTAATGTACTGCATTAAGAGAATGAAGGTCAGGAATCACATAATCATCTCAATAGATGCAGGAAAGGCATTTGGCAACATTCAACATCTTACAATGATAAATACTCTCAATACATTAGGTACAGAAGGAATGTATCTTAATACAACAAAGTCTATATATGACAAGCCAATAACTAGCATTAGTGAAAAGTTAAAAAATCAGAAAGGAAGAAGTTATTTCTGTTTGTGAATGACATGATCTTATATAAAGAAAATCCTAGGGTCTGTTCCAAGATGGCCAAATAAGAACAGCTCCGGTCTGCAGCTCCCAGCGTGATCGATGCAGAAAACAGGTGATTTCTGCATTTCCAACTGAGCCTCTGCTGGTGGTACCCAGGCAAACAGGGTCTGGAGTGGACCTCCAGCAAACTCCAACAGACCTGCAGCTGAGGGACCTGTTTGAAGGAAAACTAACAAACAGAAAGGAATAACATCAACATCAACAAAAAGGACATCCACACCAAAACCCCATCTGTAGGTCACCAACATCAAAGACCAAAGGTAGATAAAACCACAAAGATGGGGAGAAACCAGAGCAGAAAAGTTGAAAATTCTAAAAACCGAGAGCCTCTTCTCTTCCAAAGGATCACAGCTCCTTGCCAGCAATGGAACAAAGCTGGATGGAGAATGACTTTGACGAGTTGACAGAAGTAGGCTTCAGAAGGTTGGTAATAACAAACTTCTCTGAGCTAAAGGAGGATGTTTGAACCCATCGCAAGGAAGCTAAAAACCTTGAAAAAAGATTAGATGAATGGCTAAGTAAAATAAACAGTGTAGAGAAGACCTTAAATGACCTGATAGAGCTGAAAACCATGGCATGAGAACTACGTGATGCATGCACAAGCTTCAGCAGCTGATTTGATCAAGTGGAAGAAAGGGTATCAGTGATACAAGATCAAATTAATGAAATAAAGTGAGAAGAGAAGTTTAGAAAAAAAGAGTAAAAAGAAATGAACAAAGCCTCCAAGAAATATGGGACTATGTGAAAAGACCAAATATATGTTTGATTGGTGTACCTGAAAGTGACAGGGAGAATGGAACCAAGTTGGAAAACACTCTTCAGGATATTATCAAAGAGAACTTCCCCAACCTAGCAAGGCAGGCCAACATTCAAATTCAGGAACTACAGAGAAGATCACAAAGATACTCCTCAAGAAGAGCAACTCCAAGACACATAATTGTCAGATTCACCAAGGTTGAAATGAAGGAAAAAATATTAAGGGCAGCCAGAGAGAAAAATCAGGTTACCTTCAAAGGGAAACCCATCAGACTAACAACGGATCTCTTTGCAGAAACTCTACAAGCCAGAAGAGAGTGGAGGCCAATATTCAACATTCTTAAAGAAAAGAATTTTCAACCCAGAATTTCATATCCAGCCAAACTAAGCTTCATAAGTGAAGGAGAAATAAAATCCTTTACAGACAAGCAAATGCTGAGAGATTTTGTCACCACCAGGCTTGCCTTACAAGAGCTCCTGAAGGAAGCACTAAACATGGAAAGGAACAACCAGTACCAGCCACTGCAAAAACATGCCAAATTGTAAAGACCATCGATGCTGTGAAGAAACTGAATCAACTAACAGCTAACATCATAATGACAGGCTCAAATTCACACCTAACAATATTAACCTTAAATATAAATGGGCTAAATGCCCCACTTGAAAGACACAGACTGGCAAATTGGATAGAGTCAAGACCCATCAGTGTGCTGTATTCAGGAAACCCATCTCATGTGCAGAGACACACATAGGCTCAAAATAAAGGGATGGAGGAAGATCTACCAAGCAAATGGAAAGAAAAAAAAAAGGCAGGGGTTGTAATCCTAGTCTCTGATAAAATAGACTTTAAACCAACAAAGATCAAAAGAGACAAAGAAGGCCATTATATAATGGTAAAGGGTTCAATTCAACAAGAAGAGCTAACTATCCTAAATATATATGCACCCAATACAGGAGCACCCAGATTCATAAAACAAGTCCTTAGAGACCTACAAAGAGACTTAGACTCCCACACAATAATAATGGGAGACTTTAACACCCCACTGTCAATATTAGACAGATCAATGAGACAGAAGGTTAACAAGGATATCCAGGACTTGAACTCAGCTCTGCACCTAGTGGACCTAATAGACATCTACAGAACTCTCCACCCCAAATCAATGAAACATACATTCTTCTCAGCACCACACCGCACTTATGCCAAAATTGACCACATAGTTGGAAGTAAAGCACTCCTCAGCAAATGTAAAAGAACAGAAATCACAACAAACTGTCTCTCAGACCACAGTGCAATCAAATTATAACTCAGGATTAAGAAACTCACCCGAAACTGCACAACTACATGCTCCTGAATGACTACTGGGTACATAACGAAATGAAGGCAAAAATAAAGATGTTCTTTGAAACCAATGAGAACAAAGATACAACATACCAGAATCTCTGGGAGACATTTACTGCAGTGTGTACAGGGAAATTTATAGCACTAAATGCCCACAAGAGAAAGCAGGAAAGATCTAAAATCGACACACCCTAACATCACAATTTAAAGAACTAGAGAAGCAAGAGCAAACAAATTCAAAACTAGCAGAAGGCAAGAAATAAGTAAGATCAGAGCAGAACTGAAAGAGATAGAGACATAAAAAACCTTTCAAAAAAATCAATGAATCCAGATGCTGTTTTTTAGAAAAGATCAACAAAATTGACAGACCACTATCAAGACTAACAAAGAAGAAAGGAGAGAAGAATCAAATAGACGCAATAAAAAATGATAAAGGTGATATTACCACTGATGCCACAGAAATACAAACTACCATCAGAGAATACTATAAACACCTCTACACAAATAAACTAGAAAATTTAGAAGAAATGGATAAATTCCTCGACACATACACCCTCCCAAGACTAAACCAGAAAGAAGTTGAATTTCTGAATAGACCAATAACAGGCTCTGAAATTGAGGCAATAATTAATAGCCTACCAACCAAAAAAAGTCCAGGACCAGATGGATTCACAGCTGAATTCTACCAGAGGTACAAGGAGGAGTTGGTACCATTCCTTCTGAAACTATTCCAATCAATAGAAAAAGAGGGAATCCTCCGTAACTCATTTTATGAGGCCAGCATCATCCTGATACCAAAGCCTGGCAGAGACACAACAAAAAAAGAAAATTTTAGACCAATATCCCTGATGAACATAGATGCAAAAATCCTCAATAAAATACTGGCAAACTGAATCCAGCAGCACATCAAAAAGCTTATTCACCACAATCAAGTCAGCTTCATCCCTTATATGCAAAGCTGGTTCAACATATGCAAATCAGTAAACATAATCCATCACATAAACAGAACCAACGACAAAAACCACATGTTCATCTGAATAGATGCAGAAAAGGCCTTCAACAAAATTCAACAGCGCTTCATGCTAAAAACTCTCAATAAACTAGGTATTGATGGAATGTATCTCCAAATAATAAGAGCTGTTTATGACAAACCCCCAGCCAGTATCACAACGAATGGGCAAAAAACTGGAAGCATTCCCTTTGAAAACTGGCACAAGACAGGGATGCCCTCTCTCACCACTCTTATTCAACATAGTGTTGGAAGTTCTGGCCAGGGCAGTTAGGCAAGAGAAAGAAATAAAGGGTATTCAATTAGGAAATGAGGAAGTCAAATTGTCCCTGTTTGCAGATGACATGATTGTATATTTAGAAAACCCCATCGTCTCAGCCCAAAATCTCAAGCTGATAAGCAATTTCAGCAAAGTCTCAGGATACAAAATCAATGTACAAAAATCAGAAGAACTCCTATACACCAATAACAGATGAACAGAGAGCCAAATCTTGAGTGAACTCCCATTCACAATTGCTACAAAGAGAATAAAATACCTAGGAATCCAACTGACAAGGGATGTGAAGGACCTCTTCAAGGAGAACTACAAACCACTGCTCAACGAAATAAAGGAGGACACAAACAAATGGAAGAACATTCCATGCTCATGGATAGAAAGAAGCAATATCGTGAAAACAGCTATACTGCCCAAGGCAATTTATAGATTGAATGCCATCACCATCAAGCTACCAATGACTTTCTTCACAGAATTGGAAAAAACTACTTTAAAGTTCATATGGAACCATAAAAGAGACCGCATTGCCAGACAATCCTAAGTAAAAAGAGCAAAGCTGGAGGCATCATACTACCTGATTTCAAACTATACTACAAGGCTACAGTAACCAAAACAGTATGGTACTGGTACCAAAACAGAGATATAGACCAATGGAACAGAACAGAGCCCTCAGAAATAACACCACACATCTGCAGCCATTTGATGTTTGACAAACCTTGCAAAAACAAGAAATGGGGAAAGGATTCCCTATTTAATAAATGGTTCTGGGATAACTGGCTAGCCACATGTAGAAAGGTGAAACTGGATCCCTTCCTTACACTTTATACAAAAATTAATTCAAGATGGATTAAAGACTTAAATGTTAGACCTAAAACCATAAAAACCCCAGAAGAAAATCTAGGCAATACCATTCAGGACATAGTCATGTGGAAGGACTTCATGACTAAAACACCAAAAGCAATAGCAACAAAAGCCAAAATAGACAAATGGGATCTAATCAAACTAAAGAGCTTCTGCACAGCAAAAGAAACTACCATCAGAGTGAACAGGCAACCTACAGAATGGGAGAAAATTTTTGCAATCTACCCATGTGACTAAGGGCTAATATCCAGAATCTACAAAGAAATTAAACAAATTTACAGAAAAAAAAACCCCATCAAAAAGTGGGCAACGGTTATGAACAGACATTTCTCAAAAGAAGACATTTATGCAGCCAACAGACACGTGAAAAAATGCTCATCATCACTGACCATCAGAGAAATGCAAATCAAAACCACAATGAGATACCATCTCACACCAGTTAGAATGGGGATCATTAAAAAGTCAGGAAACAACAGATGCTGGAGAGGATGTGGAGAAATAGGAAAGCTTTTACACTGTTGGTGGGACTGTAAACTAGTTCAACCATTGTGGAAGACAATGTGGCGATTCCTCAAGGATCTAGAACTAGAAATACCATTTGATCCAGCCATCCCATTACTGGGTATATACCCAAAGGATTATAAATCATGCTACTATAAAGACACATACACACATATGTTTATTACAGCACTATTCACAATAGCAAAGACTTGGAACCAACCCAATGTCCATCAATGATAGACAGGATTAAGAAAATGTGGCACATATACACCATGGAATACTATGCAGCCATAAAAAAGGATAGTTCATGTCCTTTGTAGGGACATGGATGAAGCTGGAAACCATCATTCTGAGCAAAGAATCATAAGGACAGAAAACCAAACACTGCACGTTCTTACTCATAGGTGGGAATTGAACAATGAGAACATTTGGACACAGGGTGGGGAACATCACACACCGGGGCCTGTCATGGGGTAGGGGGTTGGGGGAGGGATAGCGTTAGGAGAAATACCTAACGTAAATGACGAGTTGATGGGTGCAGCAAACCAACACGGCACATGTATACCTATGTAACAAACCTGCACGTTGTGCACATGTACCCTATAACTTAAAGTATAATAAAAAAAGAAAACCCTAAAGACTCTACAAATAAAAATATTAGAACAAGTAAACAAATTCAGTGAAGTTGCAGGATAAAAAAAATCAACATAACAAAAATCAGTAGCATTTCTATACACTAACAACAAACTACCCCCCAAAAAATCATGAAAATGATCTTGTTTATGATAGCAACTCAAAAAATAAGATACTTAGGAATAAATTTCACCAAGGGAGTGAAAGATCTGTACTCTGAAAACTATAAAACACTGATGAACAAAATTGAAAAAGACAAACATAAATGAAAAGATATTCCATGTTCATGGATTGGAATAATTAATATGGTTAAAATGACCATAAAAAACCCGAATAGCAAAGCCATCACAAGCAAAAAGAATAAAGCCAAAGGTACCATACCACCAGATCTCAAAATCAGAACTACAATGTATCTCCACTAGAAACTAAATGTCAGTACCATGCTGTTTTGGTTACTACAGCTTTAGTAGTAGTATAGCTTAAAGCTGTAGTAACCAAAACAGCATGGTACTGACATAAAAACTCATACATAGTCAAATGGAAGAGAATGAGGGACCCAGAATTTAATCCACATATCCACAGCCAACAGATTTCTGACAAAGATGTCAAGAATACTCACTGGAGAAAGGACAGTCTCTTCAACAAATGGTGCTGGGAAAACTGGATATCCATATGCAGAAGAATGAAACTAGACCCCCACCTCTCACCCTATACAAAAATCAACTCAAAATGGGTCAAAGGCCTAAATGAAGAAGAAAAACAATAAAGCGACTAGAAGAAAACACAGAGAAGATGCTTCACAGCAATGGTCTGGGAAAGATTTTATGAATAAGACCTCAAAAGCACAGGCGTCAATAGGAAAAATAAACAAATGGGATTATATCAAACTAAAAAACTTCTGCACAGCAAAGGAAATATCAACAGTGAAAAGGCAACCTACAGAATAGGAGAAAACATTTAAAAATTACTCATCTGACAGGGGATTAATATCCAGAATATACAAGGAACGGAACCATCTCAACAGCAAAACAAAAATCTGTTTTTAAAATGGGCAGATGATTTGCACAGACGTTTCTCAAAGGGAGACATGCAAACAGCTAACAAACATATGAAAAAATGCTCAATATCATTAATCATCAGGGAAATGCAAATCAAAACCACAGTGAGGTATAATCTCACTCCATTTAGCATGGCTATTATCAAAAGGATAAAAAAAGATGCTGATGAGGATGCAGAGAAAAGGGAACTTTTATACACCGTTGATGGGAATGTAAACTAGTACAGCTACTATGGAGAACAGT
The DNA here is from genome assembly GCF_000001405.40 of Homo sapiens. Lineage (NCBI taxonomy): Eukaryota > Metazoa > Chordata > Mammalia > Primates > Hominidae > Homo > Homo sapiens. The sequence continues at coordinate 20,160 of NT_187541.1, forward strand.
ATGGAGGTTTCTCAAAAAACTACAAACAGAACTACCGTATGATCCAGCAAGCCACGACTGGGAATTTATCCAAAGGAAAGGAAATCATTATATTGAAGGAACATTTGTACCCTATATTTATTGCAGCACTATTTTCAACAGCCAAGAGATGGAATCAACATCAGTATCCAGCAACAGATGAATGGATTTTTAAAAGTAGTATATATACACCGTGGAATACTATTTAGCCATAAAACAGAATGAAATCCTTTTATTTGTGGCAACATGGATGGAATTGGAGGACACTATCTCAAGTTAAACAAGCAAAGAACAGAAAGTTAAGCACTGCAGGTTCTCACTTGGAAGTGGAAACAAAAACATTGATCTCATAGAAGTAAAAAGTAGGACAGGGTAGTAGAGGCTCAAAAAGGTAAGGGAAAGGAGGGGATAATTGGGAGAGATATGTTAGAGGATCCAAAATTATAGCTAGATAGGAGACAAAAGTGTTCTATACCACTGTAGAATTATTGCAGTTAACAATAATATGTTATATAGTTTCAAATAGCTAGAAGGAGGATATTAAATCTTCACAACACAAATAAATGATAAATGTTTGAGATGATAGATATGCTAATTACCCTAATAGAATACATTATGCTGAAACATCACTATGTACTCCATGAATTGGATGGTATTATTTGTCAATTAAATAGAAATGAAACAATTTAAAAATGTATACAATTTTTAAAAATTGCTAAAATGTCCATACTGCTCAAATTAATATACAGATTCAATCCAATTTCTATCAAAATTCCAACGACATTTTTACAGAAATAGAAAAAACAATCTTAAAATTCATATGAAACCACAAAAGACTCTGAATAGCCAAAGCAGTCTTGAGCAAAAAGAACAGAGGGAGGTATCACACTACCTGATTTGAAAATCTACTACAGAATTACAATAACCAAAAAAGCATGGTACTGGCATAAAAAAAGTCACATGCACCAATGGAATAGAACAAAGAGCCCAGAAATAAATCCACACATTTAAAGTCCATTGATTCTCAACAAGGATGTCATGAACACACAATGGGAAAAGAACACTCTTCAATAAATGGTGCTTTGAAAACTGGATATTCATATACAGAAGAATGGAATTAGATCATCACCTCACACCATGTAAAAAACTCAATGCAAAATGAATTAAAGACTTAAATGTAGGACTTGAAACTTCAAACCTCCTAGAAGAAAACATAGAGGGAAAGCTGCATAACACTGGTCTAGGCAAAGACTTTTTGCATATGACTCCAAAAGCATGGCAACAAAAGCAAAAATAGACAAATGAGATTATATCAATCTAAAAAGCTTCTGTACCACAAAGGAAACAATCAGCAGAGTAAAAAGAGACAACCTATAGAATGGGAGAATATATTTGCAAACCATATGTCTGCTAAGAGGATAATATCTAAATACATATAATGAACTCAAACAACTCAATAGTAAGAAAACAAATAGCCCAATTAAAAAATGGGCAAAGGACCTGAATAGACATTTCTCAAAAGAAGACATACATATTGTATAACATGACGACTACAGTTAACAAAATATTGTATTCTTGAAAAATGCTGAGAGTGGATATAAAATGTTCTCACCACAGAAATAGGAATGCTTTTACACTGTGAGAGTGTAAATTAGTTCAACCATTGTGGAAGACGGTGTGGCAATTCCTCAAGGATCTAGAACAAAAAATACCATTTGACCCAGCAATCCCCTTACTGGGTATATACCCAAAGAATTATAAATCATGCTACTATAAAGACACATGCACACGTATGTTTATTGCATCACTATTCACAATAGCAAAGACTTGGAACCAACCCAAATGCCCATCAATGATAGACTGTATAAAGAAAATGTGGCACATATGCACATGGAATACTATGCAGCCATAAAAGGAGTGAGTTCATGCCCTTTGCAGAGACATGGATGAAGCTGGAAGCCATCATTCTCAGCAAACTAACACAGGAACAGAAAACCAAACACTGCGTGTTCTCACTAATAAGTGGGAGTAAAACAAGGAGGACACATGGACACATAGAGGGTAACATCACACACCGGGGCCTGCCAAGGGGGTGGGGGGCAAGGGGAGGGAAAGCATTACAACAAATACCTAATGCATGCAGGGCTTAAAACCTAGATGATGGGTTGATAGGTACAGCAAACCACCATGGCACATGTATACCTATGTAGCAAACATGCACATTCTGCACATGTATCCCAGAACTTAAAGTAAAATAAAAATAAAAAAGATTTAGTTGTAAGAACGTCCGCCGGGCGCGGTGGCTCACGCCTGTAATCCCAGCACTTTGGGAGGCCGAGACGGGCAGATCACGAGGTCAGGAGATCGAGACCATCCTGGCTAACACGGTGAAACCCCGTCTCTACTAAAAATACAAAAAAAAAGAAATTAGCCGGGCGTAGTGGCGGGCGCCTATAGTCCCAGCTACTCGGAAGGCTGAGGCAGGAGAATGGTGTGAACCCGGGAGGCGGAGCTTGCGGTGAGCCGAGATCAGCGCCACTGCACTCTAGCCTGGGCGACTGAGCGAGACTCCGTCTCAAAAAAAAAAAAAAAAAAGAATGTCCTATAAATTTTTTTATTATGAAAAAATGTTATCACCACAAAAATGACAGCCATATGAGGTAATGCATATGTTAATTAGCTAGATTTAGTCATTCCACAATGTATAAATACTTCAAAATATTATGTTGTACACAATACATACATACAATTTTATCTGTCAATTTAAAAAGTAAATATTTATTTTGGGGTATGATAAAGCAAATATCTTCAGTTACATGCTGTTACTGAAATTTAAGGACTATTATTGTTCAAGAACGATTTTTAAATTAAAATTCTTTATACTCAAAAAATGAGGGCATAAATGGTTAATAGGTATATTTTTTTAATGTTCAACATCACTAATCATGAGAGAATGCAAATTAAAACCACAATGGGGTATCATCTCACACCTGTTAGAATGGCTACTATCAAAAACATGAAAGATATCACAAGTTGGCAAGGATGTGGAAAAAAGGGAACCCTGTACACTCTTGGTGGGGATGTAAGTTAGTACAGCCATTATGGAAAATAGTATGGAGGTTCCTCAAAAAATTAAAATATAACTAGTATGTGATTCAGCCATGCCATTTCTGCATATATATCCAAAGGAGATGAAATCAGTATGTCAAAGAGATATGTGCACTCCCATGTTCACTGCAGCATTATTCACAACAGCTAAGACATGTAAACAACCTAAGTATCTATCAGCAGATGAATGGATAAAGAAAATGTAGTATATATACAAAGTGGAATACTATTCCGCCTTAAATAAGAAGGAAATCTAATTTGCGACAACATGGGTGAACCTGGAGAACATTAAGTGAAATTACCCAGACACAAAAAGATTTAAAAATTGCATGATCTTATTTATATGTGGAATCCAAAAAATTCAAACTCATAGAAACAGAGAGTAAAATAGTAGTTACCAGAGGCTAAGGGGTAGGGAGTTTGGTGAAATGTTGGTCAAAGACACAAAGTTTCAGTTACACAGGAGGAGTAAGTTCAAGAGATCTACTGCATACCATGGTACTATAGTTAATAACAATATATCGTATACTTGAACATTGTGAAGAGGTAGATTTTAAGTTTCTTACCATACACAAAAAATGGTAACTATGTGAGGTGATGCATATGTTAAATAGCTTGATTTAGCCATTCTACAATGTATACATATATCAAAATATCATGCTGTGTGCCACAAATAATACAATTTTTAGTCATCAATTTAAAAATTTAATAAATAGTAAATAATAAGCAGTTTTTTATATTAAGTATAGAAACCTTAAAAAGAGAAAAATCAAATAATTTTATCTATTACTTTTAATTTAATGGCAGCTAAAAATAAGCAGAAATACTACAAATCTAATAAATTCAAGAACAGAAATTTAGGAGGAAGATATGCAAATGAAATTACTCATAAGATTATATATTACAAGGCAAATCAAACTGTTGTATAGGTCAAGCTAATCTTTTTTTTTCAGTGTAATGAAGTAGGATTTGCCCATTAACTAAGTTATGTAGATCTACCTTGCTTTTTTGCCTATGTTCAACAAGATACTTAGAAAGGAATTATTTCCAACCCATTAGCATGGTGGTTTTTCAAACCTGAGTGTAAGAATCACCTGGGGAATCTGTGAAAATTGCAGATCCCACGGCATCATCTCCTTCTGCCAGATTCTAATTCAGTAGGTCTGAGGTGAAGCCAAGGAATCTGCATTTTAGCACACATACAAGGGTATTTTAGTGCTTCAGGTTCACAGACCATACTTTGAGATAAACTATATTGTAGATGGTCAAGTAAAAACAATCTATCCCACATGTATCCTGATTTTTTTTTTTTTTTTTTTTTTGAGACACAGTCTTGCTCTGTCGCCCAGGCTGGAGTGCAGTGGCACAATTTCAGCTCACTGCAACCTCCGCCTCCTGGGTTCAAGCAATTCTCCTGCCTCAGCCTCCCGAGTAGCTGGGATTACAGGTGCATGCCACCACGCTCGCCTAATTTTTGTAATTTTAGTAGAGATGGGGTTTCACCATGTTGGCTAGGCTGGTCTCAAACTCCTGACCTTGTGATCCACCCGCCTCAGCCTCCCAAAGTGCTGGGATTACAGGCGTGAGCCACTGTGTCTGGCCATGTATCCTGAATTTTGAGATACAGTTGATAAATGATCAATTCTAATTGGAAGATTCCTTTAGCATCAAAAGGTAAACTCATGTTATGTCATATTTATCCTTTGAACAAGATCTCCAAGGATTTGACCATGATCCTCAAGTTAGACTTGAGGTCCAAGATGGCTGTGACCATGACATGTACCTACAGCCTCCCAGTAAGGAAGAGTGTCACCCATCGCCTCTTCTGTTGGAAACTTCTCTGCTCTCCTGAAACCCACAATGGATCATTTTAGGGAATTTAAATTAGCGTGGGCATGCCCATTGGTGTGCTCTGACATGTAACCAAAGGAGACAGGGAAAAGTCAGAGTTGAATGAATCCTGGAATTTCAGAACTGGAAGATGATGCTTGAAGGTCTAATCCTCTAAATGTACAGATGAGTAAACAGGCAGCCAAATAAATAAATAAAAATGTAAGCAACTTACTAAAAACCACATTTGTGGAGTTTCCCTGTACTCTATGTCAGATGATAGCCTGACCTTTAATTCCTCCATAATGATGGATTGCTTCATCCATCCTTCCATACACCAGGAAAAAACAAACTAATTAGATGCATATTTTCTATCTACTGAATGGCAAAAGGGATTCTTGGAGTGGGGCAGCAGGCAATTTGGGCTCTTGCAATTTTCCTTATAATTATGTCATTTAAAATTTTTAATCTGTCTTCTCTATTGAGATGTCTTCACTGGTAATGAATAATGACAGATGCAAACTTTTTAACTAGAATTTCATATGTTATGGAAATACTGACACTCAAGAGTTGAAGAAAACTCACTGGTGTTTTTGCTGATAAAATACATAATTTGCTTTTAGTTGCTCCTAGATTTTTATGTTGTATATACCAGTACAAAAAGAAATAACTGACATAATTGTACCTGATTTGCTAAATAACTAGCAATCATGGCAATAGTTTGATAACAGTATGACAGATAGGAAGAAAAGCAGCAGCTATTCTATATAGTCTGTGAGGACCAGAAAGTGAAATCTATGCTCTTTACTGTAGCTGAATGCATAGATCCCAATAAAAATGGCATAGGTATCAATAAAATGAGAAATGAATTGATTCCTAGATTCAAGGCCAAGTGCTTCTTGTAAGCCACCTCAAACCATTTTGTGAAACAGATCAAGGTGTAGATAAATGCATGCACACGCAGCACATTCATATATACACATAAAACTATTTTTCTCTTTCACTTCACCATCATTCATTCAATTTATTCAACAAATTTTTACTTCATGCCTACCAAGTACCAGGCACTCGTGTGAGTAACAGCAGCAAACAAGACATACCAAGCTTTCTGAGGCTCATAACCTAGAGGGAGGAAGACAGACCATAAGCAAAAAAGCAAACAGATATACAAAGTAATTTCAGAAAGTAATAAGAGCTCTGAAGAGTTGGACCAAGACATGAGAGACAGACTGGGTAAGAGGTCATTTTGATGGGAAGACCCCAGTGAAGAAGTGACTCTGAGATGGGAACAATGAGAAGGAGCCTGAGAGTGTAAAGCACTGTGTGAAGAGGGAGGAACATTCTGAGCAGGGCAAACAGCAAGGACAAGGTCAGTCAGGAGGCAGGAATAAGCTCAGCCCTAAGCATCGTGAGCGGGTGAAATGAGCAAGAAGGGGATGGTATGAGCTGAGGTTGGCAAGACAGGCAGATGTCAAGTCATGCTGGGCTTTAGGGGTTATTCCAGTGTTGCATAGCAATAAGGGTCAGAACTCTGATTTTCTGATTTATAGCTCAGGTCCTTATTCTCCCCTTTGCCACTTTCTTTGGGGGGAGGCATGGAATGGAATAGCCAGCTGCCCATTCAAACAAAACAGAGACCTGCCAAGCTCTGGGAGGCATGGAAGAGGTGACTATGTCCTCAGTCGCATTTTGCCTTCTTGGATGTGGCTCCCCTTGGGGTTCTCTTACTTTGATTCCCATCAGTCCCATCCTGCCCAAGTCCCTGAAGTATAGTTGTCCATACACGGACAAAGAAATACTGCTGTCCTTGTTTCTCCTTGGCATGTGTGAGATAAGCAAACATTTTTAAAGGAGAAATTTAGTAAATAGAAAGGGAGAAATAGATTTCCAAAATGCAGGTTACTGAACATAAGATTCATTCATCCCTGTGTTACCCAGCCTCAATGGATTGGTGCAGATCCTCAAATACCCTGACCAGCTTTTTTCCCACCCAAGTGCCACCCATTATTTGACATTAGATCTTGGGGACCCATCCTGTTTCCTGACTGTGGGAGATGATCTTCCTGTCCAGTCTGTCATTCTGAGACAAGTTTGCAAAATAATCAAATTAAACTTTGATTCAAACTTGCTCTCCTTATGAATGAAAAAAAAATTTACTTTCCCAAGAAGCTCTTTCTTCATTGCCTATCCAAACCCTTTTCATTCATTAAGATCCAGTTCACATTCTATCTGATCACTCTGGGTTATATTACTGTCTTTCTCTAAATAGCTACCTACCTACCATTTATGTAAGCCAACAAAGCATTTATTTACATATGGGTTTATTCCCAAATTGTGGCAGCAAAGCCATAAACTTCTCAAGGGTAGAGACAATGTCATAATATTTTATTATTACTGTCTGTTATAACTTGAAATGTAAATGTTGCATTTCTGTTTTTTGTTTTTGTTTTTGTTTGTTTGTTTGTTTGTTTGTTTTTTTGAGATGGAGTCTCGCTCTGTCACCCAGGCTGGAGTGCAGTGGTGCAATCTTGGCTCCCTGCAAGCTCTGCCTCCCGGGTTCACACCATTCTCCTGCCTCAGCCTCCTCAGTAGCTGGGACTGCAGGTGCCCACCACCGCACATGGCTAATTTTTTTTTTTTTTTGTATTTTTAGTAGAGATGGGGTTTCACCATGTTAGCCAGGATGGTCTTGATCTCCTGACCTCATGATCAGCCCGCCTCAGCCTCCCAAAGTGCTGGGATTACAGGCGTGAGCCACCACACCTGGCCCTGAAATGTAAATGTTGTATTTCTTGGATTGTTATTTTTCAGTTATTTAAAAAAAAAAAAAAACATGGACTACATTTATATCTTAAATAAATAAAACAAAAAGATATCTTTCTTGATTAGACAGTCTAGCATAACTTTGGGTACAAGATTATGTAACTAACATCCTTATTAAATTTAATTAGGAGGTAGGGGGTTGCACTTACATACTAACATTTTTTCTTTGTGCCAGGCAATGTTCTTAGTGCTTTGCATAAATATTTTTATTTAATTAAGTGGAATAAAATCTGAGTCACATATAAACATTAGTGTACATTTAGGATGCGCAAATAAGATGAATTATTTTTATCAATTTAAAAATGTCAGTTAATCTAATTCAGCTACCCAAGAAATCATTCCTCAGAATCCCAAATTTCTGTCTTGATGCACCTCATCATGATGAAAATATCAAACTTAGAATGTTCAATACACTATAACATTGCTAATCATATTCTCCAATAATTTATAGTGATAATCATGTTCTTAAAATATGATTACAAAAACTATTTGAATTGTCCTAAAACGATTTTCATTTTATGCATTTGAATTAAAGTCAATAAGTTCCTCTAAAATAATTACTTTATCTCACTTTCCTTGGTATATTCTCTTAGTACTCAAGAGTATCTTTGTTTATATTAGATTCACATGACTGTCCAAATATGTAACTGTGGATGCCAGAAATATTTTTCAGATTAGGGCAAATAGTTACTGGAAAAAAATTACTATTTTTCTACTAAAATAGTCACTGGAAATTTTTTTCTAAAAATACCCAATATGAAATGTGGTAGAATTATTTAATGTGGGAACCACAGCTTTAACTCAAATATTGTTGGCATCAGTGAGAGTCTGTGTTGCTACATAAAGGAAAAAATAGCCCTTATTATAGATGAAATATTAAAAAGATTTCAGAAATATATAAATTTAAAAGAGGTCACTTATATTTAGTGATATATTTAGTGATATAACTTGAAATGTAAATGTGGATTTGTTGGATTGAATGTTATCTTTCAGTTTTTTTTAAAAAACCATGGACTACATTTATATCTTAAATAAATTAAACAAAAAGTTATATTTTCTTAGATAGTCTAGCACATAGCATCACTTAATAAATGTAACCTTTCATATCACATTATCACATGACTCTCAACATTTCCAATGGTGAGATTTAGTGAGTGATAGAGATAAGTTACTTATATGTTAGTTTTTCATAACAGTCTCAATCAATACTTATTTAAATATTTACTCATGCAGATATTCATTCCTAAAACATTTTTGTCTAATACGTGCCAAGGACTGAAGAATTACATGTTTTCTATAACACATACAGGATGTGCACATGCATCAGTACCTAATCTACTATACTCTAAAATTTAAATATTATCTCATGCTTTCAGCAGGGAGTGATTATTTAACTATATGTATATCATGCTTCTATTTACACCTCTAAATTTAAGTAATAAATAGAGGCAGATTTACCAAGAAACAATGAATCTTAAACTTTAGAGTCCCTCATTTGCACAGGCCCCTTGCAAGGTCTAAGAGGAGTTCCAGCAACAGAGTCACAAAAACATATATTTTTTGTCAAATTTGAAAATGTAAGACATTTTAACTACAATTGTTTAAGAGCTTTCCCGGGGGGCAGTTCCAAGATGGCTGAATAGGAAGGAACAGCTCCAGTCTATAGCTCCCAGCATGAGTGACACAGAAGACGGATGATTTCTGCATTTCCAACTGATGTACCAGTTTCATCTCACTGGGGATTGTTGGACAGTGGGTGCAGGACAGTGGGTGCAGCACACTGAGCGTGACCCGAAGCAGGGTGAGGCATCACCTCACCCGGGAAGCAAAAGGGGTCAGGGAATTCCCTTTCCTAGTCAAGGAAAGGGGTGACAGACAGCACCTGGAAAATCAGGTCACTCCCACCCTAATACTGCGCTTTTCCAACGGTCTTAGCAAACAGCACACCAGGAGACTATATCCTGCGCCTGGCTCGGAGGGTCCTACGCCCACTGAGCCTGGCTCATTGCTAGCACAGCAGTCTGAGATCAAACTGCAAGGCGGCAGCGAGGCTGGGGGAGGGGCACCCGCCATTGCCGAGGCTTGAGTAGGTAAACAAAGCAGCCAGGAAGCTCGAACTGGGTGGAGCCCACCGCAGCTCAAGGAGGCCTGCCTGCCTCTTTAGACTCCACCTCTGCGGGCAGGGCACAGACAAACAAAAGGCAGCAGAAACCTCTGCAGACTTAAATGTCCCTGTCTGATAGCTTTGAAGAGAGTAGTGGTTCTCCCAGCATGCAGCTTGAGATCTGAGAACGGACAGACTGCCTCCTCAAGTGGGTCCCTGACCCCTGAGTAGCCTAACTGGGAGGCACCTCCCAGTAGGGGCAGACTGACACCTCACACGGCCAGGTACCCCTCTGAGATGAAACCTCCAGAGGATCGATCAGACAGCAACATTTGCTGTTCAGCAATATTTGCTGTTCTGCAGCCTCCGCTGCTGATACCCAGGCAAACAGGGTCTGGAGTGGACCTCTGGCAAACTCCAACACACCTGCAGCTGAGGGTCCTGACTGTTAGAAGGAAAACTGACAAGCAGAAAGGACATCTACACCAAAACCCCATCTGTACATCACCATCATCAAAGACCAAAGGTAGATAAAACCAAAAAGATGGGGATAAAACAGAACAGGAAAACTTAAAATTCTAAAAATCAGAGCGCCTCTCCTCCTCCAAACGAATGCAGCTCCTCACCAGCAATGGAACAAAGCTGGGCAGAGAATGACTTTGATGAGTTGAGAGAAGAAGGCTTCAGATGATCAAACTTCTCCGAACTAAAGGTGGAAGTTTGAACCCATCGCAAAGAAGTTAAAAACCTTGAAAAAAGATTAGACGAATGGCTAACTAAAATAACCAGTGCAGAGAAGTCCTTAAAGGACCTGATGGAGCTGAAAACCACGGCATGAGAACTACGTGACGAATGCACAAGCATCAGTAGCCGATTCGATCAACTGGAAGAAAGGGTATCAGTGATGGAAGATGAAATGAATGAAATGAAGCAAGAAGAGAAGTTTAGAGAAAAAAGAATAAAAAGAAACGAACAAAGCCTCCAAGAAATATGGGACTATGTGAAAAGACCAAATCTACGTCTGACCAGTGTGCCTCAAAGTGATGGGGAGAATGGAACCAAGTTGGAAAACACTCTGCAGGATATTATCCAGGAGAACTTCCCCAATCTAGCAAAGCAGGCCAATGTTCAAATTCAGGAAATACAGAGAATGCCACAAAGATACTCCTTGAGAAGAGCAACTCCAAGACACATAATTGTCAGATTCACCAAAGTTGAAATGAAGGAAAAAATGTTAAGGGCAGCCAGAGAGAAAGGTCAGGTTACCCACAAAGGGAAGCCCATCAGATTAACAGCTGATCTCTTGGCAGAAACTCTACAAGCCAGGAGAGCATTTCTTTAAGAATATTCAACATTTTTAAAGAAAAGAATTTTCAACCCAGAATTTCATATCCAGCCAAACTAAGCTTCATAAGTGAAGGAGAAATAAAATACTTTACAGATAAGCAAATGCTGAGAGATTTTGTCACCACCAGGCCTGCCCTACAAGAGCTCCTGAAGGAAGCACTAAACATGGAAAGGAACAGCTGGTACCAGCCGCTGCAAAAACATGCCAAATTGTAAAGACCATCGAGGCTAGGAAGAAACTGCATCAACTAACGAGCAAAATAACCAGCTAACATCATAATGACAGGATCAAATTCACACATAACAATATTAACCTGAAATTTAAATCGGCTAAATGCTCCAATTAAAAGACACAGACTGGCAAATTGGATAAACAGTCAAGACCCACCAGTGTGCTGTATTCAGGAAACCCATCTCGCGTGCAGAGACACACATAAGCTCAAAATAAAGGGATGGAGGAAGATCTACCAAGCAAATGGAAAACAAAGGCAGGGGTTGCAATCCTAGTCTCTGATAAAACAGACTTTAAACCAACAAAGATCAAAAGAGACAAGGCCATTACATAATGGTAAAGGGATCAATTCAACAAGAAAAGCTAACTATCCTAAATATATATGCACCCAATACAGGAGCACCCAGATTCATAAAGCAAGTCCTGAGTGATCTACAAAGAGACTTAGACTCCCACACAATAATAATGGGAGACTTTAACAACCCACTGCCAACATTAGACAGATCAACGAGACAGAAAGTCAACAAGGATATCCAGGAATTGAACTAGGTCCTCACCTAGCGGACCTAATAGACATCTACAGAACTCTCCACCACAAATCAATGAACTGTACATTCTTCTCAGCACCGCACCACACGTATTCCAAAATTGACCACATAGTTGGAAGTAAAGCACTCCTCAGCAAATGCAAAAGAACAAAAATTATAACAAACTGTCTCTCAGACCACAGTGCAATCAAACTAGAACTCAGGATTAAGAAACTCACTCAAAACCACTCAACTACATGGAAACTGAACAACCTGCTCCTGAATGAGTACTGGGTACATAACGAAATGAAGGCAGAAATCAAGATGTTCTTTGAAACCAACGAGAACAAAGACATGACATATCAGAATCTCTGGGACACATTTAAAGCAGTGTGTAGAGGGAAATTTATAGCACTAAATGCCCACAAGAGAAAGCAGGAAAGATCTAAAATTGACACCCTAACATCACAATTAAAAGAACTAGAGAAGCAAGAGCAAACACATTCAAAAGCTAGCAGAAGGCAAGAAATAACTAAGATCAGAGCAGAATTGAAGGAGATAGAGACACAAAAAACCCTTCAAAAAATCAATGAATCCAGGAGCTGGTTTTTTGAAAAGATCAACAAAATTGATAGACCGCTAGCAAGACTAATAAAGAAGAAAAGAGAGAAGAATCAAACAGATGCAATAAAAAATGATAAAGGGGATATCACCACTGATCCCACAGAAATACAAACTACCACCAGAGAATACTATAAACACCTCCACGCAAATAAACTAGAAAATCTAGAAGAAATGGATAAATTCCTCAACACATACACCCTCCCAAGACTAAACCAGGAAAAAGTTGAATCTCTTAATAGACCAATAACAGGCTCTGAAATTGAGGCAATAATTAATAGCTTACCAACCAAAAAAAGTCCAGGACCAGACGGATTCACAGCCGAATTCTACCAGAGGTACAAGGAGGAGTTGGTACCATTCCTTCTGAAACTATTCCAATCAACAGAAAAAGAGGGAATCCTCCCTAACTCATTTTATGAGGCCAGCATCATCCTGATACCAAAGGCTGGCAGAGACACAACAAAAAAAGAAAATTTTAGACCAATATCCCTGATGAACATCGAAGCAAAAATCCTCAATAAAATACTGGCAAACTGAATCCAGCAGCACATCAAAAAGCTTATCCACCATGATCAAGTGGGCTTCATCCCTGGGATGTAAGGCTGGTTCAACATATGCAAATCAATAAACATAATCCAGCATATAAACAGAACCAACGACAAAAACAACATGATTATCTCAATAGATGCAGAAAAGGCCTTTGACAAAATTCAACAGCCTTTCATGCTAAAAATTCTCAATAAATTAGGTATTGATGGGACATATCTCAAAATAATAAGAGCTATTTATGACAAACCCACAGCCAATATCATACTGAATGGGTAAAAACTGGAAGCATTCCCTTTGAAAACTGGCACAAGACAGCGATGCCCTCTCTCACCACTCCTATTCAACATAGTGTTGGAAGTTCTGGCCAGGGCAATCAGGCAGGAGAAGGAAATAAAGGGTATTCAATTAGGAAAAGAGGAAGTCAAATTGTCCCTGTTTGCAGATGACATGATTGTATATTTAGAAAACCCCATTGTCTCAGCCCAAAATCTCCTTAAGCTGATAGGCAACTTCAGCAAAGTCTCAGGATACAAAATCAATGTACAAAAATCACAAGCATTCTTATTCACCAATAACAGACAAACAGAGAGCCAAATCATGAGTGAACTCCCATTCACAATTGCTTCAAAGAGAATAAAATACCTAGGAATCCAACTGACAAGGGATGTGAAGGACCTCTTCAAGGAGAACTACAAACCACTGCTCAATGAAATAAAAGAGGATATAAACAAATGGAAGAACATTCCATGCTCATGGGTAGGAAGAATCAATATCATGAAAAGGCCATACTCCCCAAGGTAATTTGTAGATTCAATGCCATCCCCATCAAGCTACCAATGACTTTTTTCACAGAATTGGAAAAAACTACTTTAAAGTTCATATGGAACCAAAAAAGAGCCCACATTGCCAAGTCAATCCTAAGCCAAAAAAACAAAGCTGGAGCCATCACACTACCTGACTTCAAACTATACTACATGGCTACAGGAACCAAAATAGCATGGTACTGGTACCAAAACAGAGATATAGACCAATGGAACAGAACAGAGCCCTCAGAAATAATGCCACACATCTACAAATATCTGATCTTTGACAAACCTGAGAAAAACAAGCAACAGGGAAAGGATTCCCTATTTAATAAATGGTGCTGGGAAAACTGGCTAGCCGTATGTAGAAAGCTGAAACTGGATCCCTTCCTTACACCTTATACAAAAATTAATTGAAGATGGATTAAAGACTTAAATGTTAGACCTAAAACCATAAAAACCCTAGAAGAAAACCTAGGCAATACCATTCAGGACACAGGCATGGGCAAGAACTTCATGACTAAACACCAAAAGCAATGGCAACAAAAGCCAAAATAGACAAATGGGATCTAATTAAACTAAAGAGCTTCTGCACAGCAAAAGAAACTACCATCAGAGTGAACAGGCAACCTACAACATGGGAGAAAATTTTTGCAATATGCTCATCTGACACAGGGCTAATATCCAGAATCTACAATGAACTCAAACAAATTTACAAGAGAAAAACAAACAGCCCCATCAACAAGTGGGCGAAGGATGTGAACAGACACTTCTCAAAAGAAGACATTTATGCAGCCAAAAAACACATGAAAAAATGCTCATCATCACTGCCCATCAGAGAAATGCAAATCAAAACCACAATGAGATACCATCTCACACCAGTTAGAATGGAGATCATTAAAAAGTCAGGAAACAACAGGTGCTGGAGAGGATGTGGAGAAATAGGAACAGTTTTACACTGTTGGTGGAAGTGTAAACTAGTTCAACCATTGTGTAAGTCAGTGTGGCGATTCCTCAGGGATCTAGAACTAGAAATACCATTTGACCCAGCCATCCCATTACTGGGTATATACCCAAAGGACTATAAATCATGCTGCTATAAAGACACATGCACACGTATGTTTATTGCGGCACTATTCCCAATAGCAAAGACTTGGAACCAACCCAAATGTCCAACAATGATAGACTGGATTAAGAAAATGTGGCACATATACACCATGGAATACTATGCAGCCATAAAAAAGGATGAGTTCATGTCCTTTGTAGGGACATGGATGAAGCTGGAAACCATCATTCTCAGCAAACTATCGCAAGGACAAAAAACCAAACACCGCATGTTCTTACTCATAGGTGGGAATTGAACAGTGAGAACACATGGACACAGGAAGGGGAACATCACACACCGGGGACTGTTGTGGGGTGGGGGGAGGGGGGAGGGATAGCATTAGGAGATATACCTAATGTAAATGACGAGTTAATGGGTGCAGCACACCAACATGGCACATGTATACTTATGTAACAAACCTGCACGTTGTGCACATGTACCCTAAAACTTAAAGTGTAATAAAAAAAAAAAGAGCTTTCCCTTTCCACTACTACTTTTCCTTTATCACATTTTCCATTTTGTTGGGTGGCCTTGGTGTGACCAGAGGTATTTTGAAGATCCACCTTAGGGGAAGTTGAACTGGAGACATTCAGCCTGAATTTAGTGGGATCTATTGATTCAGTCATCAGTCAATTCTCTGTGTAGTTAGGTTACTACTGGCCTCCCAGGATAAAATTTCCTCGATGAATAGTGCAAGTGCCCACTCTGGGACTCATCTGGTATCATAATTCAAAGATTAAGGGCATGGGCTATATTGTGTAATGAATGTGGAGACAAACAGAACTTTGAAATAAACAGAGCCAGATGCTAGTCTATGAAGAATTCTTTCAATTATCAGATAGGTAAAATCGTAAGTTGAAGATTTTATCTCATTTTCTGCTATTCAAAATGGAAGTTCTATTTTGTCAGAGACATGCTTGATATTGCAATGTATTCAAATGTAAACACATTGTATTTTTTAAAGTAGGAATCCTAAAATAAAAATGTTCAGAATTCCTATGAATGGAGGGTACAAATTTACAGTGACACTACAAACAGTGTTTTTGTAAGCAAACTTGGATATCTGTGATCTCAACATATCTGATCATCTCTTGGCATATCTGACACATCTTGCAGTGTGGAAATTCCAGAGAAAATGGGTTCCAAAATTCCTTTTCTTAAAAAGTGATCTCTAAATTATATAAGGTTCATGTTCCACAAAACCTGGATCTGTCCCTAGATTATCCTGAGCCAGTGAATCATAAAATCATAACATCTTAAGAGATGGTATAGACTTTAAATACCATGTAGTCTGGTGGGGTTTTTTTCATATATTTTCTTTTAAGTTTCAAGATCCTTTCTTTTTTTTTTTTTTTTTTCAAATAAAGGCCTATGTTAGTTTCTATAGCACTTCCCAGGAGATGCAATAGAAAGTCTTAGTAGTTGATATTATGAAAAAAGTAGAAAATAATAAACCCTGGAGTTATATATATAAGATGTATACTTGTTTCTATTTAATAAGAGAAGAACATATGCAGAGAACAAGGACACCAAATAGTTCTAGAAAAAAAAATAAGAATTGTACCAAAATAAAGAAAGGATTGTCTAGCATGGGTAATCAAGAATCATAAGAAAAGGAATCCAACAATATGTGTCCTAATGATAAATTAACCCAATGTCCTAAAGACAAAAATTAAATATGTGTCTTCAAGCTCTCATAGCTGGGGGGTCAAACTTCTATACTACCAAACTAACTATAATAAAACTCTTGGCCGGGCACGGTGGCTCACGCCTGTAATCTTAGCACTTTGAGTGGCCAAGGTGGGTAGATCACTTGATCTCAGGAGTTCAAGACCAGCCTGGGCAACATGGCAAAACCCCGTCTCTACAAAAAAATACAAAAATTAGCCAGGCATGGTGGTGTGTACCTGTGGGGCTGGGGCAGGGAGGATTGCTTGAGCCCAGGAGGTGGAGGTCGCAGTGAGCCAAGATTACGCCACTGCGCTCCAGCCGGGGTGACAGAGACCCTATCTCAACAAAAAATAATAATAAAAAAATTCTAATACAATGTACATAGTTTTATATAATTTTATTTTTTTTAAATGTAGCCACATGGTTCAAATTTCAATCATAAAATATTAAAAGGTATAATTTTAAATTTTACATTTCTTTTTAAGTCCCTCTTTTTCACTTGTCCCCCATCTGCTCAGTTATGAGTGTCTCAGAAGCCCCTCCCAATCCAGGTAACCACTGATCAGTGTGTTATGTCTTCTTACAGAGTTTCTTCATGCATAATAAAGAAAATAATGAATTATTTGTCCCTCTTTCTAAACAAATTTTATTCTCTTCCCAGGTTTTAAAAATTGAAACATAATATACCATAAAATTCACTCTTTTAAAGTGTACAATTAAGTGGTTTTTATTATATTCATAAAGATGTACAGCCATCATCACTAATTAAAGAACATTTTCATCACTCCAAAAATAAATGCCCCTTAGCTATCACCCCCCTGCCCCCAGTTCCCCCAACCCACTATCCCTAAGCAATCATTAATCTACTCCTGTCTCTGTAGATTTGTCTATTCTGGACATTTCATGTAAATTGAATCATACAGTAGGTGGCCTTTGTGACTGGCTTCTTTCACTTAGCACAATGTTTTCAAGGTTCATCCATGTTGCAGCATGTATCAGTGCTTCATTCCTTTCTATGATTGACTATCCCCATTGTATAGACATATACCACATTTGATCTATTCATTAATTGATAGATATTTATTGTTTCGAAGCTTTTGGCTATTATGAATAATACTGCTACAAACACACATGTACACATTTTTGTATGAACAGGTATTTTCAATTGTCTTGGGATGCATCTAGGAGTGGGATTGCTGGGTCATACAGTAAATCTACATGTAATTATTTTGCAAAACTGCCAGACTCTTTTCCAAAGTGGCTACATCATTCTACCTTCCCACCAGCAACTTATGTGTGTTCCAATTTCTCCACTTCCTCACCAACAGTTGTTATTGTCCATCTTTTTAAATTATTTCACTTTTTAATACAAAAGGAAGGAAGCATACCATGCACACTGCTGTGAAACCTGCTCTTTCACATAGTATCTTGGGCAGATTTTACTATCTGGAAAACAGAAAGGACCTGTTTCTCGGAAGCAGCCTCAGCTGGTACAGAAGAAGAGGATGTGAGGGGAACCCTGAATGCACGTGTGCATGCACTCACACACACACATTAATACAATATAGTATATATAATATATATGTGTATAATATATATACTATATAACACACTATACTATATATACACTATATATACATACTATTTCATTTGTTCCAGTTTTCTGTATCACAAACACTCACACAGAGGCCCCTGAAAGGCTCCAAGAACACCATCAATAAACTACTTATCTGCTGTAATCGCAGCACTTTGGGAGGCCAAGGTGGGCAGATCACTTGAGGTCAAGAGTTTGGGACCAGCCTGGCTAAAATGGTGAAACCCCATCTTTACTAAAAATACAAAAATTAGCCGGGCATGGTGGCAGGTGCCTGTAGTCCCAGCTACTCAGGAGGCTGAGGCAGGAGAATCACTTGAACCCAGGAGGTGAAGGTTGCAGTGAACAGAGATCGTGCAACTGCACTCTCCAGCCTGGGTGACAGAGCAAGACTCCGTCTCAAAAAAAAAAAAAAAAGCTACTTATCTGGTTCATCCCTCACTTGACATACAAGGAAACCAAGTCCAGAGAGGCCATGTGACCTTCCTAGGTAGACTGGTTTGCCGAAGCTATTGTAATAAAGTATTGTAAACTGGATGGCTTAAACAACAGACATTTATTATCTGGGGTTCTGGAGGCTGGACATCCAAAATCCAGGTGTCAGCAGGGTTGTGAGAGAAAATCTCTCTTCTGACCGCTGTGAGAGAAAATCTGTTGCAGGCCTCTCCCCTGGCTTCTGGAAGTTGGCAAGCAATCTTTGGAGTTCCTTGGCTTCCAGAAGCATCACTCTGATCCCTGCCATCAGGTTCACATGGCTCTCTCCCTGTGTGGGTCTTTGTGTGCAAATTTCCCCTTTTAATTAAGACACCCATCGTATTGGAGTAGGATGCAGCCAAATGCTCTCATCTTAACTTGATTCCCTCTGTGAAGACCCTGTTTTTAAATATAGTCGCGTTCTGGGGTGCTGGGGGCTGGGACTGCAATATATGAATTTTGGAGAAACACAATTCAACCCGTAACACCAAAGTTACTGCCACTAGCAATGCTTTCTAGATTTCCCAGATATCCTTGAATTTCCTAAGTGTCTTTTATACGAAGGATCTAAGCTTATAAAACATTTTCATTAGTAACACCTCTAATTAAAGACAAATCCCTTAATTCCACAAGAAAACAACTGAGATTTGATGTCAATTCAAAAAGCTAGTTATTAATCCATCATAACCCATTTTGTGGGCATTAATGGAGGATAACTTTTCATGCACACTGTGAGCTGAGGGTCAGGAAATATGGGGCCAAGCCCTGACTCTGCCATTCATTCACTGTGGGATCATTTACCTTCTGGATTGCCACTGCCTCTTATTGTAGAGGAGTTGATACGATTTTGAAATTCCAGATGATCCTCTGATTCCTATTCTATTTGGTGATGCTCTGTTTTGTGCTAGTCTCTTCTATGCCCCCACACAAATATAGGCAACAGAGAGACAGATGATATGTACAAGCAAGCATACTTATAACACTTATTCACAGCCCCCTAGATTCTTAGAAATAGAAGGCTTTCACTGACTGTCCTCATTTAACAAAGAAATGGAAGCCTAGGGGGCTTAAGTGACTAGTCCTAAGACACACACATCATTCCTTGCTTGAACAACTTCAAATAGGGCAGTGGTCCTTAAATTAGATCCACAGACCCAGGGGTCTTCATGGATGAATTTTAGGGGTCTATATATCCCTGAGAGTTAGTACACAGAAATGGAAATGAATGTACATGTGTACATTTTAATTTTTTCTGTTGGAATGAGTCCCTAGCTTTCATCAAACTCTCAGCTCTCAGCACAATGCCTGGTATATAAGGCATACCTAGGAAACATCAGTTGACTTATGTGTGTCAAGTTCTCAACCACAGAAAAGTTAATAACTACTGAAATAGGGTAAAATAGAATACAGTCATTCTCTGGAAAATAATCCTCACTAGTTCCCATCACCCAAATGCCCTATGTATACAGAGTCTTTCATCATCCTGCTGTTCTGAGTCCTGGATGAATTACACCATGCTGTGCTTGTCTATTAAACCAATAGAGAAAGATTTTTTAAATCACTATTTCATCTCCTTCAGGAAATCATCCATTTTTTAAATTTCACTTTACTATCCTATTTAATTAATAAGGGTTTAAAGGTAGTTAATAAATTATAATTAATTTAGGAAATGACCGTTTTGTCCTTATTAAAGTAATTCAAATTTTAAATGCTTGTAATTTTCATTAGTTCAATCAAGTAAGACAGCCCCATTCCAATTAAACCTAAGCTAACTTACTTTACTGTTAGTCCAGGGAAAATCTCTGATACATTGAGCACATGTGATAGAATGATTATTAAAACTGTGACTTTGATAACTTAATTATTTCTGTAAAGAAAAAAAAATGTGACTCTGAAAAAGGCAGGGAAATGCCTTGGGTCCAAGACAGGTGGTATCATAAGCAGAGAGCAGCAGCCCCATGGAGTAGGTGCTCAATACATATGTGATGAAGCAATGAATTAAAAAGAAGTAGCTGGCCGGGCATGGTGGCTCACACCTGTAATCCCAGCACTTTGGGAGGCTGAGGTAGGCAGATCACCTGAGGTCAGGAGTTTGAGAGTAGCTTGGCCAACATGGCAAAACCCCATTGCTACTAAAAATACAAAAAGTCAGTCAGGCATGGTGGTGCATGCCTGTAATCCCAGCTACTCGGGAGGCTAAGGCATGAGAATCACTTGAACCCAGGAGGTGGAGGTTGCAGTGAGCCAAGATTGTGCCACTGCACTCCAGCCTGGGCGACAGAGCGAGACTGTGTCTCAAGAGAAAAAAAAAAAAAAAGAAGCAGCTGATGCTTCTAAGAGAACAGAAAAGGCCGGGTGCGGTGGCTCATGCCTGTAATCCCAGCACTTTGGGAGGCCAAGGCGGGCAGATCATGAGGTCAGGAGATCGAGACCATCCTGGCTAACGGTGAAACCCCGTCTCTACTAAAAAAAAAAAATACAAAAAATTAGCCAGGTGTGGTGGCGGGTGCCTGTATTCCCAGCTACTCGGGAGGCTGAGGCAGGAGAATGGCATGAACCTGGGAGGTGGAGCTTGCAGTGAGCTGAGATTGTGCCACTGCACTCCAGCCTGGGTGACAGAGTGAGAATCCGTCTCAAAAAAAAAAAAAAAAAAAAAAAGAGAACAGAAACTCTCTTTGAGCAGAAAACTATCCACCTTAAGAACAGCTAATAGGACATCCATCAGTGGAGGGATATATAATGGTGAGACCCTTGTCTAAAAGATCATGGTTTTTTTGTGACCCATTGAGGAATGGTGCCATGCTGACAACTATCAATATGGATATCAAATACAACTATCTGTCTGTAGTTATTAAACATTTCCTTCTGTCAATTTGTTACTAAGGACATGCCAATATGGAAGAAGCCCAGAGGTCCAGGGACAGGGCCTCAAGACGGAAGAAGTATGATACCCTACAAGAAGCAAGCCAGGCCATTTGTGCCATAGATATGTGAAATAATGAATTATGTTAAAAAATCAAATCTTATTTGGAAATAATGTATATTGTTAAGTATTTACAGATAATGATTAACTTTGCCAATGGAGGTTAAAAGCTCTCTTCCTTACAGTACAGGGTCTTACTCATGTTTATGTCCCCAATCCCAGGAAAGAGTAGCTGCTTAATAAATGATTGTGGATATAAATTAAGTTTAATCAAGAACATTATTAAGATAATCAAGGAAGATCTTACAAAGTTTTGCCATTTATCTTGTCTAGTTTGTTCAGCTACCTTATATTACAAGGAAGGAGTGACTTTTGCATCCTACAAACTTCCTGGAAGAGTAATTATCAGTTAGACATCTAGGGACCATCCAAGACTTAAATGAACACAGGAACTTTGAGTGCTCCCTTGGTGATCATTTTTATCAAAAGGATCTTTCTATCTCATTACTCTGTACTCCTTTGAGCAACAATCCTCAATATTTTAGATAGTAAAGAACCTAAGAGCCAGATGTTCAATGAGACACCAAATTTATTCCATTTATCTTACCTGGAGCTGAGGTTTCTTTGTGTTTAGCGTTGTTTTTCTAGAAGCTGAGAATGATGTCTTGGGAGAGACTGTGGATGCTTTCAGAAGAGTACATATTTTGTTGTTACAGATTTTTATTTTAAAATTATTCATATTATGATCCATTTATTAGATGAAATACTAGGCATTTCTTAAAATGGACTCATAGGAGGATATTTAACGAAAAAGGCAATACATATTTTAAGCTTTTTCCTGATTTTTATGGTACATTGAAATTATTTTATGTAATTAATAAAAATAAATATGAGACAGATAACAGGCCCACTATTGGTAGATTCCAACTCAGAAATCAATTTCAATATTTGTGTAGCATCATTTCACAGAAATGTTCTTACTTTCTAAACTTCTCCCAGGTACATCAACAGTTCCTGTTGGTGGAAGGCCAGTGTGGAAATTTTTTAGGTTGGAAGAATCTGTCATTACCCAGGAATGTACAGATATTTTCTCATAATTCATCTGAGTAATTACCAGACAATGGCCCTGAAAAAAAGACTGAATAACTGACTACCAAAGAAACTTGGATTTCTTTAACGCATCATCTTCTATATTGACATGTAAAGATTATTTAATTCAAAATTCCAAAGAGGAGTTGAAATTACTCCTGATTAGTTATACTATTGAATCATCGAATATGTCAATGGGTAATCTATGGTCAGGTTCAACTAGCTCCTAGTTCTAGAGATGATCATAAATATGAAGGCATTATAGAAGATATGTAATCTTTGGTTGTAGCTCTCTACCAGAATTTTAACTGAAAAAGTTAATGCTTCTATTACATACTTACAGATGTGATTAATACAAGGAAATCTGAGTTTAAATTATCAGAGATAATGTTTGTTCCAGCCCTGAAAGAAAATGGGGGATTCAAGATGCATTGAAAAAATGTCTATTTATTCATACAAAACACTCATTGAGATTATTACGCACTAGGCCTAAGATAAAATGAGCAAGGCAGAGACAGTCCCTCACTGTGAAGTGTACGTATTTATCCACTCACAAGTACTTCTTGAGCATCTTCTATGTGCCAACATTGTAGATTTGGGGTGGAGAGGGTCATAGCCCATAGTGCTAGCCTTGAAAAGGAACAATATATTCTATTTGTGCTCCACCTGGAGATATTGAGGAAACACACTACTTAAAAAGTTGGGGGAGACCATTACATGATATCATTTAAGCAAATGTGCAGTGGTATAGGCAGAGTAATTTGAGGTAGGATTGTGAAATAGATGACATTTGATTGCAGTGCTCCACTTCTGTTTTTATATGTATATTTCCTTTCTCTGAGTGTCTCTGAGGCTCCTCAGCCCCTTCTTGTGGTCTCCCCCTTAATATTCACCATCTATGTCCTCACAGTGAATTCAAGGCCAAATAACTAATTTGATAAACTAATCTCTAGTAAATTGCCATGGAAAATAATTTAGGGTTAGTCTCTTAAATAAAAGATATGAATTTTAACTTCAGCCTTGTAGAGACACCTGGAATACAACCATCATGCCTCATATTATAATTATGCTGTTAATTTATGTGCAAACATCAGTGCAAGGTACTATGTGTTAAGCACTAAGGTGATGCGTAAAGGAATAAGATGCTAGCTCTATCTATCAGGGGTCTCATGAGTTAACAAGGGGGAGAGATCAATATAGAGACAACTTTGATCAAGGCAGTTAATAGCATGGGCGGAATAGGCACAGTGCCAAGAGAGGGCTGAGCTTTCACCGGTGCCAGCTGTTGTGCACGCCTGAGATTCTGACGCTTGATGTTAATGGGCGTTTGTAGCTAAACCTGTTGTCACATTTCTCTAATGAAACCAAGCCCTAGGCAGGGAAGTGGAGAAGTGAGGGGTGACCCCAGTATAACAGAGGAGCAGGGCAATTAGTGAGCTCCCCATGGGAAAGATAACCTCTAGAAAGAGAAGGCAGGGCTCTGAGGTCCAGCCATTCCCATCCACATGAAGAATCTCTGTTCTTTCATTAGCTTGGAAGGTCCAGGTCCAATTTTTCCAAAGAGTTAGCTTTTTCTTAAATTCATACATAGCTTTTCAGAGATAGAAGGGGGGCTGATGAAAGGTTACTGTCCCAGCCTACCGGGTCCAAAGACTTTTGAAGGAGTTTTGTCTTTGTGGTTTAACCCAGCAATGATGAATACTGGTAATTCCAGGTCAAGCTGAGGGAAAGATAGTGCCCTGGCAGGGCAACAAGGATACAACTGTGGGCAGCCAGTGCCTTAATTACCACTCAAGTTACACTCAGCTTTGGAGGCTTATGCCAGGAAGATAGGTCATGAAACTTATCTACAGGTCCCAAGTGCATCCTCAGGTCTCCTGGATCCTTCCCTTCTTGTATTTTCATTCCTGTGACATAGATCAGATTTTTCTTTCTCTCTAGATTACAACAACAATATTCCCTGTTTCCAATAAATCTGATGGCAATGCATCCTCTTTTTTTTTTTTTTTTTTTTTGAGATGGAGTCTCGCTCTGTCGCCCAGGCTGGAGTGCAGTGGCACAATCTCAGCTCACTGCAACCTCCGCCTCCCGGGTTCAAGCAATTCTCCTGCCTCAGCCTCCCAAGTAGCTGGGATTACAGGTGTGTGCCACCACGCCCGCTAATTTTTGTGTTTTTAGTAGAAATGGGGTTTCACCATGTTGGCCAGGCTGGTCTCGATCTCCTGACTTCATGATCCACCTGCCTCGGCCTCCCAAGGCAATGCATCCTCTCTTAGCAGTCACCAGAATAATCCTTAAACACAATTACACTGTGTTAATTATATAGATAAGGGTAGTTTTCTTCTAATGTTTTTTGGAGGCTGATCCTAAAGTATTGAAAGCTTCCACCTACCTCATCTCATCTAAGTTAATTTCTTCATCCCTCTATGTTACACACACTCTCCTCTCCAACCCAGAAACACAATTTAGGCTTATCTGCTGAAGCATGTTGTTACACTATCTGTGCTATTTACTTCTCTGGATGCTTTATCCAGAGAAGTTACCCCAAAGCTGGCTTTACACGTGTTATTCTAGGAAACCTCTAATCATTGACTCTAACTTAACCTTTCACATCTGGAGTCAATGCTTCCAGTATTAATATTAATTTGCTTGTGAACCTGCTTGTTTCGATTTCTTTATTCCAAATGTGTTATTTTGTTGTTTCATGTCACATTCTAACTTCCTAAGGAGCTTTCAAAGCCTTGAGATCGGAAACCATGTCCTCCAGTTGTGTTTTGTTTGTTTTTGTACTCTCTGCATCCCATCTCCCAACTCTCCAAGACAGTTTATTTTGAGCTATATATTTCTATCAATTAGCGGATCATGAAATCAGTTTAGTAAGTCTCCTACTAACATCTCTAAATGAAATAGAATTGAACCTAAGAGAATTGAAAACATGAGAGTGACAGACGCATGGTAAGGGCAAGTATCTTTCTGAAACTCTGACACAGGAGTGTGCATCAGGCTATGATATAAAATATATTTCATACTATGAGTTGTGGTCAAAACAGCTTGAGAAACACAGGTAAGGATGAAACATCTGCCTGAAGCAAGAGATTTACCTTGTGCAAATTTATTTGGGTCCCCCTAGCATTTGCTCCCAGATTCCTGGCTTTAGTTTGGCTTTTGGTGTCACCCAGTTGGCTCCAACCATTACCCAGGTGACCTCTCAGGTTGGATCCTGCTTGCCCCTTGGATTGCAGGCTGACCTCAGCATGCTGCTGTTCACACTGACCCTATACACCTTGGTCTCGAAACTTTCTGCCCCATATTATTTTTTTATATTTTGAGATGGAGTCTTGCTCTGTCACCCAGGCTGGAGTGAAGTGGCGTGATCTCGACTCACTGCAACCTCCGCCTCCCGGGTTCAAACGATTCTCCTGCCTCAGCCTCCCGAGTAGCTGGGACTACAGGTGTGCGCCACCGTGCCTGGCTAATTTTTGTATTTTTAGTAGGGACAGGGTTTCGCCATGTTGGCCAGGCTGGTCTCAAACTCCTGACCTCAGGTGATTAGCCCGCCTTGGCCTCCTAAAGTGCCGGGATTACAGGCATAAGCCACTGCACCCGGCCTCTGCCCCACATTATACCGGATGCAACCTTGCTCCGAGCAAAAGCCCAGACATGATGATGAGAATACTGATATACATAAATGCAGATACCTGGCTCTTTTTGGAAAGAGAGTCCAATATTCTCTTTCTATGTTAAAGTATTGGGTGCCTGGTACCTGATTTTATCATATAATGGGAAAAACAGACTCCAGGAAATTAACATTTCTTGGAGCTTCCTGAGAGTAAAACTCTAATTCATGGAGGAGTACTTAAACCCATGATTTTAAATGAGCAACTTAGTTGAATTTTGAAAATACAGCAGCAAAAATTCAGCATTCTTGAAGAAATAAGTCCTGTGAGAAAAATATTC
The DNA here is from genome assembly GCF_000001405.40 of Homo sapiens. Lineage (NCBI taxonomy): Eukaryota > Metazoa > Chordata > Mammalia > Primates > Hominidae > Homo > Homo sapiens. The sequence goes on from NT_187541.1 coordinate 46,938, forward strand.
TAATTACTAGTTACATCTGAGATGATATAATTTTTCTAACTTTCCTAATGCAAATGATTGGCTTTAAAAATGGCCTAGAAGGGACTTTCCTCTACAATAATTTTGCTTAAAATATACAAATTAGGTAGTGATTTGGAGGAAATCTGTAGCTTTTCTTGTTGCCATGGTAACAATCTACGTTTCCTTATATTTGTACAGTCAGAATGGTCCATGCATAGTTTGCCCTGGAGCCGTAGATGACGATGTTGGTGCCATGGAGTGCTCTCACAACATTTGAAAAATGATAATCATATCCTTATCTTATTTGCTGCCATTTAGCCAATGTAGAGGAAACAACATATAAATGAGGTTTCTTTTGCAGAAGCAGCTATAACCTAATGAAAAGCCTGCCAGTAGTTCATTTTATTAGACGTTAATATAATGTACTAAGTACACACAAGCTAGAATAGAAGTTCCTTGAAAAAAATTGAGGGATATCCAGTCTCCCCAGCATAATTATATGAATGGCTTTACAGTCTTGGCATTGAAGACTTGAGAACTTGAAAAAGACTCAGAGAAGAGCTAGCAAGATATCGATGGAGTGGGAAAGAAGGTCCTTTGATGAAAAATACTAGCACCATCAAGATTACACTGTTGCCTGATTTCTACAGACACACAATAGTAAGGAGTAGGTGATTTCATGAGAGTATGGGTAAGTCAGGACTGAATTATTAACACTAAAACTCTGGTGAAGGTTTGAAGCTGGTCTCTGAATGTTTCCTCGTCCAAAAGCCACAGCTTTGCCCTGGGTCGGGTCTGTATTCCAGGAGAGCAGGCACTGTCTATCATGTGGGACATGACTAGTGTTCAATAAATATTTGTAACACTTGGCTTCATCTTATATTCCTATATTTATTTTTCTTACATTTGCATTTTCTCATTTATATTGTATTTTCTTCTATAGATTTCCTTTATGGAACAGGGAGGGTTATAAATTAAATGTTGTTGAAGAGAAAAGGAAGAAAATAAAATGGGAGGGCCATAAAGAACTTACAAACAAAGGTGCAATGTATGGGGTTTGAAGGATGGAAAAATCACCTATCGATGGATGAGCCAGGAGAGGTTTCATGGAAGAGGTGATTTTTGACATGATTATAATCAGTAGGTAGTAGTGTGACTGGCAGAGAGGATTCTGAAAGGTGAAGACAGCCAGGCCTTCCAATTCATCAAAACAAATTTGTACTCAAATATTTATTGATTCTGAAAAAGAAACTGAAAAGTACAAAATATAACAATATAACCTGTAGTATTGGCATAAGGAACAGTGAACCAGAAAGGCTATCTTTTCTCTGGGCCAAGAGGAAAATAATGGGAGATTCCTGTTGAGAGAGGAAAACAAATTTATCAGAATTTAGAATCATTCTCCAGACTCTTTTTTTAATTTTAAAACATTTTTTGAATGTTTGTCAGTACAGAGTAGGTGTATATATTTAACATGAGATATTTTGACACAGGCATGCAATGCATAATAATCACATCAGGGTAATGGGGTGTCCATTATCTCAAGCATTTGTCCTTTGTGTTACAAACAATCCAATAATGCTCCTTTAATTATTTTTAAATGTCCAATTAAATTATTTTTGACTATACTCACCCTCTTGTGCTAGCAAATACTAGATCTTATTCATTCTTTGTAACTACTTTTTGTGCGCATTAAATGTCCCCACTTAACCTCCATGTTTCCAAGCTTCTGGTAACCACGCTTCTATTCTCTGTCTTCATACGTTCAGTTGTTTGCATTTTTAGACCCCACAAATAAGTAAGAACAAGTGTAGTTTGTACTTATGTGTCTGACTTATTTCACTTAACATAATGACCTCCAGCTCCATCCATGTTGTTGCAAATGACTGGATCTCATTTTTTTTATGGCTGAATAGTACTCCATTGTGTATATGTACCACATTTTCTTTATCTATTCATCCGTTGGTGGAAATTTAGGTTGCTTCCACATCTTAGCTATTGTGAATAGTGCTGCAGTAAACATGGGAGTGCAGCTATCTCTTCAATATACAGATTTCCTTTCTTTGGGGTCCTAGCAGTGGGATTGCTGGATTATATTGTAGCTCTATTTTTAGTTTTCTGAGGAAGCTCCAAACTGTTCTCCATAGTGGTTGTACTAATTTACTTTTCCAGTAGCAGTGTACAAGGATTCCCATTTCTCCACATCCTTGCCAGCATTTATTATTGTCCAGCCTATCATTTTAGTTCTTTAAAAGTGGCTGTAATTTCTCTTGTTCATTTCATGATCAAAGTCAAAATGCATTACTTCCTAATCTATCAATCCGTACTCTTGGTCCAACAGAACCCACTAATCATTCCCTTCCATCTCACATGCACCTCCACCTGCCTGCTCTAGCCTCACCTGAGAGTAATGAACATGGCCAGGGCATCCTCCAAGACCGCGGGAGACTAAGGCTGCATTATGGGACGGTCTCCTGGGCTTCCTAGCACAATCTGGCCCTCCAAGATTATCCTTCTCCTTAGGGATATCTAGCACATGATCACCCCCACTATGACCCTGCTGGACTTAAGAGGGTGAAGCTTCAAGGACACCCAAATCCTTTCACATCTGAACCAAATGGACCGAAGCTTTGAAAGAAGCTGGAGTTTCCTCATGGCCTGTCTAGCCTCCTTGGTGAATTCTGGTGTCCAGAGGACCTTTCATTTGCTCTAATGGCTGCCATCCAGTAACAACATCTTTCTCAATAGAGAGGTACCACTCAGTTTTTACCCATAAGGGTACAGCCTAACCCAGCCCATCAAGACAGGGACACCACACAAGCCTAAATATTCTGTTTGCCCTGAGAGGGCTGGAGGCGGTTATCACCCCTCCCATCTCTGTGGCTGAATTCTTGACTGATGCTGTATTTCCCAGGATCTTCTCTGGTCTCCCACAAGCACGAGAGCCCTGCCTAAAATAGTTTCAGTTCACTGGAGCCCTAATTCCCACATCCAGAATATGATAGCCCTGTTTCTCCAGGCTGTATCTTGCTTCCAGGACGCCTTCCAGATATACCATCTACACACCCTTCTGAATCCAAAAAGTCCTTGCTTCCCAGTCTTGCCCTACCCTCTGAGAGAGAGTTTGAATCCTGATGCCAGATTGGGTTGGACTAAAGCAATGTTTTCCAAATTTCTCTAGTCATAAAAGCTCATCAGGAGCACTCATTAAAAATACAGAATCCTAAGCTCTCTCCTAAAGATCCTGCTGTGAGAGACATGGGGCAGGGTCTGGCCGTGTATTTTTTTTTTTTTTTTTTTTTTTTTTTTTTTTTTTTTTTTTTTTTTTTTTTTGAGACGGAGTCTCGCTCTGTCGCCCAGGCTGGAGTGCAGTGGCGGGATCTCGGCTCACTGCAAGCTCCGCCTCCCGGGTTCACGCCATTCTCCTGCCTCAGCCTCCCAAGTAGCTGGGACTACAGGCGCCCGCCACTACGCCTGGCTAATTTTTTGTATTTTTAGTAGAGACAGGGTTTCACCGTTTTAGCCGGGATGGTCTCGATCTCCTGACCTCGTGATCCGCCCGCCTCGGCCTCCCAAAGTGCTGGGATTACAGGCGTGAGCCACCGCGCCCGGCCCTGGCCGTGTATTTTTAGCAAATGTCCAAGATGATCGCTAGAACTTTTTGATATTTAGAGAAACACTAGATTAAAGTTTGCTATACTTTCTTAGACCTGGTGATTTGGGTTTCTAGCCCTAGAAGGGCTCAACCCTTTTGTCCCAACTAATTTCCCGTTGCTTCAACCTCAACCACTTCAATCCTGCCCTTCTTTCTTCCATTTCCCAGCATGTCTTATAGCCAACATCACCCTCACCATGATACTCCTTATACACAGAAAGACTTCCCTAAGATTCTGTTACTAACCTTGCAGGGAACTAGCCTCACCTTCCCGCCCCTTGGATCCGTCCCCTTGGACAGTATGGCTGGCCCATATCAGAATGGAGTTTTCCACACTCCATGGACATGGTGATTTTAATCTCTGGGCCTTCCTGAGAGGGCACCAGCTTTTTATATTCATTAGTTTCTTTTGGCCCTTGCTGGTAACTTCCTTTTTGCTGGATGGCCTATGATCAGCCTATTTATGGTAATTCTAACACTTCAAAACAATATAGAAATACAGTCTCTACCATAGTGTTATGCATATACCTATATCCTCTAATAATTTTTCCTAGGGGTGTAATGTTTACAAGATTTGTCTCTTCCATTTAACTACAGACCTAGTAATTATTAAAACCACTTATTTAGCACCTTTATTTATGCAAGCCATTTTATAAACATATATAATACAGTAAATATTTTAAATTTTCGTTGTATTTCTTTTCTCCTTGAGAATAGAGTCCAACCCCTCAACTTGTTTCTTATCCTTCCTTATTTCCCACAGAACTAAAATGCAAAGACACAAAGTAGGCAGTCAGTAACTGATTACAACATTAGTTAATAAAATAAATGAGGCATGTAAGGTATACAACTGAGTGATAGTGAGAACACATAATTAACCTCAAAGACTAGAATGCTTGGAAATCACTTATTAGATGAATGTAATATATCAGGCATGAAATGTCAAAAAGAGAAGAAAGGTCTGCATTTTTGGACCCCTAGGTCATCCTAGACATTAAAGAGGGCCACACCCCCCTGGCAATGAAATGGGACAAAATAAAAATTTGGCCATCAATACTGCCTCTGGGAAATCTCAGGCAAAAGGAAGAAAATGAGAAATAGAAATGAAATCCTAAGCCCACCAAGCAACAGAACAGACCTCTTCTTTGCCAAGGGACCCCAGAGAAACTCAAAAACTGAGTTCCCAGCCATGACGGGATGGGAGGTTGGAGAAACCTCATTATAACCCCTCCCTCACCTTTTCCTAAGGGTTAAACAGAAACCAGCCCTTTGGAAAGACTCACTCCACCCCTAGTATCAACCACCTGATGCGACCTCTCCCTTCTGTGGTTTCTACAAAATAACCGGCCAGCATTCCTTCCTGATAAGAGACCATGGAGGATGCGCAGTAAGGGTTTTCATGTCCTCTGCTTCAACTTTTGACCTCAGAGGGCTGAAAACTCCTCCCTGGGATCATGCTAACTCCACTATTTTTTGAACATGGTACCCATGAAGGGGCATGAAGTTTACTGGGGCATGTGCATATTTCTCCTTTCATAAATATTCATGACTCCTGCTATAGTTTATTGAATATGTATGTTTCGCCACCCCTTTCAGCATAAATTCCTGTTCCCTTTGCTCCTCCCTCAAAGAGCCTGTTTCTAGCTTGTCAGAATGGCCACCCTGTAAGATGCAACCTTATATGAGAAATAAAGCTCCGCTTTCCAAACGAAATAGAGCTACATATTAATCTTAATCTACTTGACAAGTGGAAAATAAAATAGAACAAATAAAAACACAACTCAACTCAACTCTTCTGCCTGAAAATACTGAATGTTCAGGTTGACAGAAATCTAAAAAATGGTGTTTTCCATGTTTATGCTGGTGTAGATCCTATGGAGATGAGATTAGCTGATTTAGGGCTTGTAAAGCTAAGAAATACAGGGAGAAGTTCATTCTGTTTCTGGGAATTCTGATCCTAGATACTCTTCTTAGAAATCATGATAGCTTTCTCTGAAAATGCTTTACTTTGAATCAGTTGCATTCAGGAAAATAGATAATTCTAGCAGAAAAAGGGTAGGATGGCTGTGAATTCATAAGGGAATGGTCACTGACTAAGCATCTGGTACCTCCCAAGCTCCATGCTCAGTGCTTTGTGCATACTCTCTCTGCTGAGGTCCAACGGCACCTGGCATATCAGAAAACTGAAGCTCTGGGAAGTGATATACTTTGTCCCAGGTCACTGAGTCACAGAGCCAGGACTCTGACCTAGGTCAGTCTGACTCCAGAGACAAAGTTATTTTCCCAACATCCAGTTACCAACCCAACTCAATCAAAGGCTATTGAGCACTTGTGCCAGACACTGTTCTAGAACTGGGATGGCAGTGATCACAGACAAAATCCCTGCCTTTGAGGAGTCTACATTCTAGGGGTTCCCAGATTATCATTTGGGATATTTAACATATTTAAGATCATTTAAGATAACTTTGAGATATCTGGAGAGACACACCAAGAAAGGAATGATGAAGCTATCAGAATCCTAAATCAACAAGAAACCACATCCAGAGATGTTTTTTTACACTTATTTTTCTAAGGTTCACTAAAACCAAGGCAATTTTTTTCTTTATTTCAAAATGAATGAAAGGCAGAGAAGGCATGCATGCAAGGAATGACATTAGAAATGGCCCGATTAATGTCTCATAAATGTTAACTTTGTGATTCATCTGCTACATTGCATTAAATACCCATAGATACCAGGGTCCACTTTGATATTTGTTTCTTGTGTCATATGTAATAAAAGAAGTCATGTTCTCTATTCCACACAGACACTCCATGTAGCTGCAATTGCAGTTCTTATTCTGGTCGTCTCTTGACCTTAAAACTTCTAAAGGCTTTGGAGAAGAGTTTAGAGTGGCCCAAACTATAAAGAAAATTGAATTTAGCAAGCAATTCCCAAGAGTCTCCAAAGTTCATTTATGTAATTGCCAATGCAGAATCATTTTTAAATCTTGAACAGAAACCTCCTTTTGCTTTCACATTTTTTTCCTAAGTATAGAATAAAAATCAATTAGGAATAATTGTCTTCAGATTTGGTATGATACTGATCTAAAGATTCAAATAAGCATCAACCCTGAAACAGCTTTGGGAAAACCTACTTTAACCCTGTAGTAAGGAGATCTTGCATTGGAATGAGAAAATTAGCAATTTTGAGTGCCCCCTTATATTGTCAACATTTTGACCAAGGCGAGTGTTATTGAAAACACTACCAAACTGGAGGTGCCTTTATTTATATGTAGTTATGTTTGTTGCTTTTAAAAATCTAGACACATTCTTGCCATGCAAAGGAATAATTCAGACATTTAAATGCTGAGACTCTTGCCCTCAGTACTAAAGTATAAATAAAGAGAACTTCTCTGCTCTGCTCTCCCCACCTACCTCTGCTAGTCAGATTCTTCCAACACCCCATCCTCTCTTCAGAAATACGTATGAGTGCACACAGAGCAGAGACCAGATTTATGACTATAAATGGAATTTGCTGACCTGGATTTGGGTTTTGTGAGGATAAAAGAGAGAGATTACATTAGGCACAAGGAAGAGAAGGCAGTGAAAAAGGGAGAGAGAAGCGAAGAACTTTCATATATTAAAAAGGAGCAGAAGAGAGTGATGGAAACTGGACCAATGGGAGGGAGAGAAGAAAGTAACACTGAAAGGAAATATTATTGAGGAAACTGTGACCAGAAAATTGTTATGGATTATTGTCAACCTTCCTTTTTTCCCAAAGCATTTGGTGTTACTTCCTTATACAAGTAGTCCAAGAACTCACATTCTGGCATTTAAAATTTTCTTTAAAAAAAAAAATTCATATACCTAATTACTTCTTTCCATTCATTTGTTAAAATAATAAACATAAAATTGATCTTTATGTTTGAAATAGTTTCTCACAAGAAATTGGAAAAATAGTACAGAGAATTATCATGTACCCTTCACTTCCCCCAGTATTATTACATATCCCCAGAGCACATTGTCAAAACCAGGAAATTGATGTTGTTCATTATTATTACCTCAGATACAGTCCTTATTCATATTCCAGTGTTACTTACACTTTTTCTTCTTTTTTTTTTTTCTTGGTCTATAGTTTTCTGAAGTTTTATCACACATGCAGATTCGAATAACCAACACCACAGTCAGGGTACAGAACTCTTCTGACACTACAAAGAAACCCCCAGTATTCTTCCTTGAGAATCACACCGTTCTCCCAGTGCTGGTCCCAGGCAACCTCTGATCTGTTTTCCATACTATTATTTTGTCACTTGGGGTTAGTTATATAATCAATCATGTGGTATACAACCCTTTGAGACCGGCTGCTGCTGCTTCTTTTTTTTTTGAGAGAGAGACAGGGTCTTGCTACATTGCCCCAGCTGGACTTAAACTCCTGGGCTTAAGCAATCCTCATGAGTAGCTGGGACTACAGGCATGTGCCACTGCACCCGGCTGTGACTGTCTTTTTAAGCTTGCCTTTAAGATCCAGCCTTCACATTGATTTTTAAAGTTCCAATTAAGCAAAATTTAAAATAAGACCAACACCTTATTATCTAAACATTTGTTTTCCATGTGCTCTATTCAAGAAAATAAAGTGATCAGAATAGTTTTTTTGAAATTAAAAATAAAGAGAGAATGGTGACATGCAATTTGGAATGAATTGCACAGTTAATAATTTAACTTTTTTGGAGGTGATTAAGAAGAAACAGCTTTGGCAAGTTGAAGCATCATATTCTGACTTCCCTACAAACTATGATATTAGGATCCTTGGGACCATAAGCATTTTAGTCCATGGCTCAAAATGGCTATTGCTATTTTAGGAGAGCAGACTAAAGTTTTCGAGATAAAATTTGCATTAAGAATCAGTTTCACAGAACCCAGAGCTTGATCAAATGCTGATTACCACAATATTTCTCTATCTGTAACTGGCACTATCTATGAAAAGCAGCAGATTTTCATAACCATTTCCATCACTAATAAAGTGGCGCATTTGCAAAGTTTCTATTAAGATACGTTTATTCTCTCAGAATTTTATAGCCTTGGATTTTAAGAATTTAATGTAAAACCCACATGAAGCTAAATGTTAACAAAACAGTCAATTCTTCCTAACAGAAGAAGTATTTGTGGCTGTATAAGTTTGAAGAATAAAAAGTAATTCAGATAAATGGACTTTCTAAAGGACTCGTTTTGGCATAAAAACAGTTTCAGAAAGATGGTATATAAAGTTATGTCCAGAAACTGTAGAGTTGGTATTTAAATAAATATTAATAGGAAAGTTCTGCTAAGCCACTGCAGGAACATGTATCCTAATGGGTGTGCCCAGCTGGCAGCTTTCCAGTTGTACAGCCTCATATGACTCACTGCGTTGGGGCCTTTGGCCTGGACTACCTGCTCCAAATGCACACAAATACAGAGCTTCTTACTCGGTCTCCCCTGGAACACCTCACCTCACCTTTCAGACTTCCTATTACAGCTGTGGCAATGCTGCCTTAGGTGGACTCCTGCCTGGAAAGAAACAGGTTTTATGGTGGTGCAATGCCCCAGGTGGCATGCTTGCTGATCTTCAAGCTGTACTAGCAGAGACCAGCAGTCTCTATCTGGACAGACAGACCACTTCCCAGCTCCACTTTAAAAATCACAGCCTTTCTGCTTTTGTTCAAAAGTCAAAAAATGACAGATGTTGGCAGGGCTGTGGAGAAAAGGGAACACTTATACTCAATGTGAATATATTGGTGGAATGTAAATTAGTTTAGCCACTGTGGAAAGCAGTTTAGAGATTTCTCAAAGAAGAGTTGAATGACCATTCAACCCAGCAATCCCATTACCAAGTATATACCCAAAGGAAAATAAATCATTCTACCAAAAAGACACGCACCTGTATATTCATTGCAGCGCTATTCACAATAGCAAGGCCAGGCACAGTGGCTCACACCTGTAATTCCAGTGTTTTTAGAGGTCAAGGCAGAAGGATCCCTTGAGGCCACGAGTTCAAGAACAGTCTGGGAAACATAGTGAAACCCTTTCTTTACAAAAAATAACTTAAATAAAATTAACTGGGCATGGTGGCATGTGCATGTAGTCCCAGCTACTTAAGAAGCCGAGGCAGGAGTATGGCTTGCGCCCAGGAGCTTGAGGTGCAGCAAGCTATGATCGCACCACAGAACTCCAGCCTGGGTAACAGAGCAAGACCCGGTCAGTCACTCTTTTTAGATCATACTCTTTTTGAAAAACAAAAAAACAACAAATATAGAGACAATAGCAAAGACATGGAATCAACCTTAATGCCCATCATTGGTGGATTTACTAAAGGAAATGTGGCACATATACACCATGGAAAATTATGCAGCCATAAAAAAGAATGAAATTTTATAATTTGCAGCAACATAGATGCAACTGGAGGCCATTATCCTAAATGAACTAACACAGAAATGGAAAACCAAATACCATGTGTTCTCACATATAAGTGGGAGCTAAACATTGGGTATATATGAACATAAAGATAGGAACAATAGATACTGGGGACAACAAGAGTGGGGAGGGAGGAAGGGGGGCAATGGTTGAAAAACTACCTATTGGATACTCTGCTCACCACCTAGGTAACACATTCAACCATACTCCAAACCTCAGCATCATGCCATACACCTTTGCAACAAACCTACACATATACCCTCTGAATCTAAAATAAAAGCTGGAAAAAAATCACAGCCTTTCTGAACATGTGCAGGTGGCAAAGAGATACTATGCACAGTGCAGCTGAACAGCTCTTTTCTGAAGCATCAGGCCCGGTGATTTGGAGGCAGGGTAACATTTGGGGGTTGGGGAATGGCTAACCCAGCAGCAGGAAGGGGGATTTTGTTAGGTCAAGGGGAGTGGTGGACATACCCAGTTGTCAGGGATAGCCATTCAAGAAGGTGGGCAGGCAACTAGCCCCAAAGAGGTACAAAAAAACACATCAGGTGGTTATCCCAGCAGTGCATGGGCCGACAGGGAACTGAAAGTAACAAGATGGTAGAGATCCAGCCAGTGGTCAGCATCAGGAAGATTTGGAAGCAGATTACCAAGGTAGGCGTAAAGTTGAGGGGAACGCAGCAGCATCCCTGTTACTGGCACTGGGGTACAATTTTGAGTTAGAGCACAGGAATAAGGTAAGGAAGGGAAAGGAAAAGGTACTGAAATTGATAGGCAGCCTACTAACCTAGGTGCTTTAAGCATATGATCTTATTTAATTCCCACAACAACCATGCAAAGTAGGAATTAGCCTTATTATATAGGAGAGAAAAGTGAAGTTCAAAGAGAAATGAATTTTGCCAAAATAACACACTTAAGAAGGGGGGCAGTCAGAATTTGAACTTAGGACCAGCTGACTCCAAAGATACCATTGCTGTATTCCCATTGTCATTTGTCCTCATTATTTTTTAGTGCCAAATCTTTGAGAACACAGCCCCCAATGCATATTTCCCATTGTGTCATTTATGTTTTCCCCTTTAAATTACATTGTATCATAAATTAGAGACTTTAAAAATTGGTCTAAATTCACTTCCAGTGCCTATGGGAGGGAAATAAGGGTCAGACCTCTCTGCAAATGATGTGTGGAGGCAGTCAAGAGGAAATCAGTGGGTTGGATGAACAAGCTTCTGCAGGGTCCCCTGAGGATGAAGGTGAACCAAAAGCAGCAACCAAAACTTGGAGTATAGGGCTAGAGTGTGTTTGGTGAGGCCAGGTTGGATCCAGAAAACTAGACTCCTCCCATGAACTTTTCACAGTATTCCACAGCATTTCACAGACACACAGTGGGGGCCGACGGCTCCAATGGAGCCAGTGTCAGTCCTAAGGAACTTCAAGGAGGATATGTAAACATATAGATTTTTTTGGTCCAAATATTTATTGCAATTCTCTTGATTTTTAAAATTGTATACTTTATATCCAAGAAAATAAAAAATAATTTAAACAGCAATCTCTAGTTTTCCTCCTAAATGTCATCTTTCAAATACAAATCTTGTATGTTTTTATACAGTATAAATATTTTCAAATAAAGGGTGGTTGGCCATGTATCTTTTCCACCTTCGATAATAGGTGGAAGGTGTAGTAAATGTAATTTTTAAAATTAAAGACTGAAGTTTATTTGGTATTTCAGAGCACCACCTGGTGGATTAATTAACGATAACAGTCCAAAACAAAAATGAATCTTAAAACTGGCTCCGAAATAAGAAGTATTGGAACCCTTATGAGGCTCACTTCTTCTATTCTTTTCCCTCTCCTTTAGTTCTCTTTTTCCCCTTCTCTCTCTCTTTCTCTCACTCTTTTCATTTCCTACCTAGTCATTTCCTCCCTCCTATTTTGTTTATACCTTAGAACTTGTCCACATCATCTACTGGTATTGATGAGTCCTCAGAGTGGGTAAGGAGCTCACTTACTTATGCTTGGTTTAATAAGATCTACAAGGTCTCTAAATTTCAAGTAGAAAGGCAAATATAGAGTTACAAAATTCAGTTGTCTTTCAGAGACTGAATCTTTTTACCTAAGGATGGGCCTGTATTTCCCCAAGGTGGAGTTTTTGTTTGTTTGTATGTCTGTTGTACACACAACATTCATTCCAATAGAACCCCTCTTTCCTATTTTATTTGTAAATAATGCCTAAAATTGACTAATTTTCAGTGTTTTTGCCTGTTGTTCTGAGTAAGCTACCCAATAGCTTTTGAAAGAGAGGCAAGCTGGTTTACTGCAACCTTCTTAAAGGTATCTGATCTCACATGACCCACATGTAATATGAATGAATGGAACAGGAAAGATATAAGACACTAGGGAGTGGGGAGACTGAGGACCTGGAGACCTCAAAGCTTGTCTATGGGGGTACACATTATTCTGATCCAGCTGCTGCTTTTAGTTTTTTAAAGAGAAGCCAAAAACTTGATTTTTATTTTTATGAAGATCCTTAAGTATTTAAATGTTAGCAAATTTTCAAAACATACCTGCAGACCAGAAATGGCGCATGGGCCAACCTCTGATTTAAAGTGGTGGGAAACATCAAAAAAGCAATACACCATGATCAAGTGGGTTTCATCCCAGGGATGCAGGGATGGTTTGACATATGCAAGTCAATAAATGTGGTACATCACATACGCAGAATTAAAAACAAAAACCATATTATCATCTCAATAGACACAGGAAAAACAATAAAATCCAGCAGCCCATTATGAGAAAAATTCTCAACAAACTAGGCATAGAAGGGACTTAACTCAGAATAATAAAAGCTATATATGACAAACCCACAGCCAACATCATACTGAATGGGGAAAAGTTGAAAGCATTCCACACTGAGAACTGGAACAAGACAAGATGCCCATTTTCACCACTTCTATTTAACACAGTACTAGAAGTCCTAGCCAGAGCAATCAGGCAAGAGAAAGAAATAAAGAATATCCAAATTGGAAAAGAGGGAGTCCAACTATCACTGTTTGCCAATGATATACCTACAAAACCCTAAAGACTGCTCAAAAAGACTCCCAGATTTGATCAATGAATTTGGTAAAGTCTCAGGTTACAAAATCAGTGTACACAAATCAGTAGCACTTCTATACACTAACAATAACCAAGCTGAGAATCAAATCAAGAACTCAAAATTAGCCAGGCATGGTGGTGCGTGCCTGTAATCCCAGTTATTCGGGAGGCTGAGGCAGGAGAATAGCTTGAACCCAGGAGGCAGAGGTTCAGTGAGCCGAGACTGCGCCACTGCACTCCAGCCTGGGTGACAGAGTGAGACTCCATCTCAAAAACAAAACAAAAAAACCAATAAACTCAATTCCTTTTACAACAGCTGCAAGAAAAGTAAAATACCTAGGAATATACTTAGTCAAGGAGGTAAACAATCTCTACAAGGGGAACTACGAAACACTGCTGAACGAAATAACAGATGATACAAACAAATGGAAAAATATCCCATGCTCATGGATTGGAATAATTAATGTTGTGAAAATCACCATACTGCCCAAAGCAATCTATAGATCTGATACAATTCCCATCAAATTACCAACATTATTTTTTCACAGAATTAGAGAAGACAATCCTAAAATTGATATGGAACCAAAAAAGAGCCCGCATACCCAAAGAAATCCTAAACAAAAAGAGCAAATCTGGAGGCATCTCATTACCAGACTTCAAATTATACTCCAAGGCTACAGTTACCAAAACAACATAATAGTGGTATAAAAATAGGCACATAGGCCAATGGAACAGAATAGAGAACATAGAAATAAAGCCAAATACTTACAGCCAACTGATCTTCGACAAAGCAAACAAAAACATAAATTGGGGAAAGAATACCCTATTCAACAAATGGTGCTGGGGCAATTGGCAAGCCACGTGTAGAAGAATGAAACTGGATCCCCATTTCTCACCTTAAATAAAAATCAACTCAAGATGGATGAAAGACTTAATCTAAACCTGAAACCATAAAAATTCTAGAAGATAACATTGGAAAAACTGTTTCGGGCATTGGTCTAGGCAAAGAATTCATGGCTAAAACCCCAAAAGTAAATGCAACAAAAACAAAAATAAATAAATGGGATCTAATTAAACTAAAAAGCTTCTGCACAGTAAATGAAATAGTTATCAAAGGAAACAGATAACGCACAGAATGGGAGAAAATATTGCAAGCTATGCATCTGACAAAGGACTTGTATCCATAACCTACAAGGAACTCAAAGAAATCAGCAAGAAAAAAATAATCTATCAAAAAGTGGGCAAATGATATGAGTAGATATTTCTCAAAAGAAAAGGGGGTATACAAATGGCCAAGAAACATATGAAAAAGTACTTAACATCACTAATAATCAGGGAAATGCAAATTAAAACCACAATGAGATACCACCTTAATCCTGCAAGAATGGCCATTATTAAAAAGTCAAAAAACAATAGATGTTGGCATGGATGTGGTGAAAAGGGAATGCTTATACATGGCTGGTGGGAATGTAAATTAGTACAATCTCTATGGAAAACAGTGTGGAGATTCCTTAAAGAACTAAAAGTAGATCTACCATTCAATCCAGCAATCCCACTACTGAATATCTACCCAAAGGACAAGAAGTCATTATATGAAAGACACATGCATACATATGTTTATTACAGCACAATTCACAATTGCAAAGATACGAAACCAACCTAAGTGTCCATTGACTGATGAGTGGATGAAGAAAATATGGCATCTATATATACACCCACGGAATACTCTTCAGCCATAAAAAGGAACAAAATAATGTCTTTTGCAGCAACTATTAATCGTGCCTGTAATCCATTTTTCTAAGTGAAGTAACTCAGTAATAGAAAACTAAATACCGTATGTTCTTGATTGTAAGTGGAAGATGAGCTGTGAGTATGCAAAGGCATACAAAGTGATGTAATGAACTTTGGATATAGTAGGAGGAGGGTGGGAGTGGAGTGAGGGATAAAGAAAAACTACACATGGGTACAATGTACACTACTTGGGTGACAAGCGCACTAAAATCTCAGAATTCACTACTACATAATTCATCCATGTAACCAAAAACCACTTGGACCCCAAAAGTTATTGAAATAAAAATATATTTAAAAAATAATAAAGTGGTAGGAATATAGACAACTCACTGGATGATACAACATGAGTAAAGAATAAGTCTGAGGATAAAATCCACTCTGTTCTCTGAACAAACGACTTTTATTATTCCCAAGGATCTCTATCGCCTCTCACACTCTGAATCCACATTATCTACCCCCATTCTTGACATAATCACATCACAGGATCATATAAAATTGAGATATCCTGGCAGTGACCTTTTATCCATGAGAATGACGTTTGTCTTGAAATAATCTGAGGTTCAGATTTTGGCTCCAATGAGAAGCTGCTGAGCAAAGCTAAGAAAAGCAGTTATAGAGTTTATAGGCTTCAGATGTGTACTGTCAGATTAATCCATATTTAAGTTTAAAATGTGTAAGTTAAATATTTGGATTCTAATTTTGACCATTTATAAAACCTACTCATTTATACACCCTAGTGGGGCAACCAGAAGCACTTTACTGCTAACTGATTTAGGAAAGATGTTGATGGAATTAAGACAGTCAAAGAGAAAAAAATTAATTTCCTTACAGTTCTTTGGGAAACAGTACATGGGGTTTTGTTTGTTTCTACTTTTTGTTTGGCATGAAAAAAACTCATAGAGTGTGATGTTTTAGTAACAAATTTCATGGCAAAAATGATTTGAAGGAGAGGAAGGAATTAGGAATATTTTGTTATTATAAAGTACTTGCCATTAAGTGGTATAGTGTTGAGAGAGTGGGCTTGGATTACCTGCAAATGTACATTACAAACTCTAGGGCAACTACTAGAAACAAGTTTAAAAATATATAATTGACATGCTAAGAAAGGAGAGAAAATGGAATCATAACACACTCAATTAAAAACCACAAAAGGCAGAAAAAGTTTGGAGAACAAAAATAGAAACTAAGATCAAGGGCAACAAATAGGAAACTATAACAAATATGGTAGATATTAATGTAACTCTATCAATAACCAACCTAAATGTCGATGGTCTAAATATAGCAATTAAAAGACAAAGATCGTCAGAGTGGATCAAAGATCAAGACCCAACTATACATTATCTACAAGAGACCCCCTTTAAATATAAAGACAGATATAGATTAAAAGTAAATGGGTAGGTGCTGGGATAATTGGCAGCCACATGTAGAAGAATGGAACTATATCCTCATCTCTCACTTATACAAAAATCAACTCAAGATGGATCAAAGACTTAAATCTAAGACCAGAAACCATAAAAATTCTAAAAGACAAAATCAGAAAAACTCTTCTAGACATTGGCCTAGGCAAAGAGTTCATGACTAAGAACCCAAAAGTAAATGCACCATAAACAAAGATAAATGTATGGGACTTAATTAAACCAAAAAGCTTCTGCACAGCAAAAGAAATAATCAGCAGAGTAAACAGACAACCCACGGAGTGGGAGAAAATCTTTGCAAACTCTACATCTGACAAAGGACTAATATCTAGAATCAAGGAATTCAAACAAATCAGCAAGAAAAAACAAATAATCCCATCAAAAAGTAGGCTAAGGACATGAATAGACAATTCTCAAAAGAAGATATACAAATGGCCAACAAACATGAAAAAATGATCAATATCACTAATGATCAGGGAAACACCAATTAAAACCACAGTGTGATACCACCTTACTCCTGCAAGAATGGGCATAATCAAAAAATAAATAAAAATAGATGTTGGTGCGGATGTGGTAAAAAGGGAACACTTTTACACTGCTATTCTACTAAGAGTAGAACTACCATTTGACCCAGCAATCCCACTACTGGGTGTCTACCCAGAGGAAAAGAAGTCATTATATGAAAAAGATACTTGTACATGCATGTTTATAGCAGCACAATTCACAATTGCAAAAATATGGAGCCAGCCTAAATGTCCATCAATCAATAAGTGGATTTTAAAAATCTGATATATATTCCACACACCATGGAAAACTACTCAGCCAAAAAAGAACGAAATAATGGCATTTGCAGCAACCTGGATGGAGTTGGAGACCATTATTCTAAGTGAAGTAACTCAGGAATAGAAAACCAAACATTGTATGTTCTCACTTATAAGGGTAGCTAAGCTATGAGGAAGCAAAGGCATAAGAATGACATAATGGACATTGGGGACTTGGATGGGGAAGAGTGGGAGGGGGATGAGGGATAAAAAACTACACATTGGGTGCAGTGTATACTGCTTGGGTGATGGGTGCACCAAAATCTCTGAAATCACAGCTAAAGAACTTATCTATGTAACCAAATACCACCTGTTTCCACCAAATTATTGAAATAATAATAACAAAAAAATAGTTTCCCATTAGCTCCGTGAAGCATTTATCTTTGTATCTTATCTCTTGGTACAGTATTTGGCACAGACTCAGCATTTGGTGAATGCTTATTGAATGAGTGGAAGAATGAGTAGAAAAGCCACTTGTCTAATTCTGAGAGTTATCTGGTTGAGACCATAACATTTTGACACAAATTGCAATTTCTTCATTTTTCTCTTCACTTTGCCCATCCACCCTGTAAGGAACATGGCTGTGCTTTAGTCAAGCATAAGCCGAGGTAAACATCCAAAGTGACTCAGCAAGTCTAGAGTGCAGATGCATAACTCCACTTGTTATCACAGCCATGTAGCCATAACATGGGAAGGCTCATCATTTGGCTCTAAGCCAGTAATGTCTGTAAAAGGTATAACTGCCCTGCTGACACTGTACAGGCACTGGTGCCCAGAGAAAGAGAGGGAGTCAAAGTTGTCCGTTTTTCAGACAGACAGAGGGGAGCCAGGGCACAGCATGGCTTGGCTCGTGCCCAGAGAGAGAGAAAGAGTTAAGCTGCTGACCCCGAAGGCAGGGGAGAGCCAGCCACACAGCTGTGTGTGGGAGCCAGCTGCTGAGAGGAGCCGCAGGGCTGGAGCAGACAGCAGAGACAAAGCTCAGTGTGAGAGAGCTAGTGGGAGTAAGCTGCTGATGAGAGAGCTGCTGAATGAATAAAACTACATTTCACCTGCTTACGGCCCCCCTGCGTGTTCTTTCAGCTACATGCCCATCTGCCTACTCCCCTCGAACCTCAGCATGGGCTGGAACCTGAACCCAAGCAGGGCATTTGGCATAGTGATGAACCTGACACACTGTATCCCAGGAGGCACAAAACTGTGCAACCTCTCTACCCTTTCTCACTCCAGGAAGCATTTACCTGGAATTTAGTCTGGAGCCACAAACTCTAGAGCCCACCAAAAAAAAAAAAAAAAGTAAATGGGTAAAGAAAGACATACCATGCTAAGGGTAATCAAAAGAAAACAGGAGTAGCTATATTAACTTCAGACAACGCAGACTTCACAGCAAGGGAAATTGTCAGGAATAGAAGGGGATATTACATGATGATAAATCGGTCAATAATCAAAGAAGACATAACAATCCTTAATGTGTATATGCCTAAAAAAGTGTCAAAATGTGAAGCGAAAATGGATAGAACCTCAAGGAAAAATATTTGTATCCGCTTATAGCTGGAGACTTTAGAAATGAACAGATCCAGCAGGCAGAAGAGTCAGGTTAAACTCAACTGTACCATTAATCAACTGGAAATAATTGACATGTGCTCCACATTTTGAAATGTATTCACTAATTGGGTAATACATTTTTGTGGTGTGTCTCTCCTTTTAGACGTCTAACTTCTTACTGGCAAAAGTATTCTGCATTTCTCATTCTTTCCTTTCTCTGGGCCTTTATTCCTCATATAAAAGTCTAGGCTGTAAAAGGGAGGCATGAGCAGAAATGAGCTCTCAGAATACTGCTCTAACAAAACCAAACATAAAGGAAATAAAACATAAATTGAGCTGCTTTTAAGTTCTATGGCCCTCAGCTGCTTGGCTATTGTAGCACTGGACCCCTATTAACTCCAACAGGGATGGCACCAGGTTCAAGAGGCCAAATAAAAGACCTGCAGCCAGTGAAGAAAAAATAGGGCTTATTTGGAGGAACTTACAGGGTGGCCCAGTAGTGGTGGGCTGGACGAAAAGAACCACAACCGCTTATGAAATGCAAGCAATTTATATAGCATTTTTACTTAGCACTCTCCCCTTAGCAACCTCTTCATGGCAACCCTCATTTCTTAAGTGATTGCTGTCAGGTGTATCTGCCATACGGGGTATGTTTAAGTTATGCTTTCAGGTGCGTCTACCATACAGTGATGATTATCCTTGATTTTCAAAATGTTTCCATTACTTGTCTCATAGTCTAGTTCATTCATGCACTTATTCTTAGATAGAGTAATCTATGGCCAGTCTGATATCAGCCGTGGTAAATACATGACTCATATGTAAATTAAATACATGAAGATGTACTGACCACATCAAATGCGTTTGTGTCATGAAATTAACAGCGTTAAGAACACACATGTGCAGGTACGTGCACACATACACACAGTGCTCACAGATGCTACTAATTTCTGACAAGTGATTGCCCTGCCTGATTCAGTGATGCTCCAGGAATAGACCAAGCAGTAGGAAAGAATAGAAGACCCAGAAACAGATGCACTCATAGGGTTTATATAACAGTTTTAGTATTTTTAACCTGTGCTATTCATTCAGTCATTTATTCATTCAACAACTATTTATTGAATATGTACTAAATGTCAGGCACTGTTCTAAGTATCCTGAATAAGAAAAAAATCAAAAACTATTTTTTATTTTGTTTAATCTATGGCAGCTCAATGAGAAAGGTACTAGGAAGTCCATTTTATCAATGGACAGGCATAAGTAAATTTACTTGACCAAATAAATATAACCAACAAGTGGTAACCATGGGGTTCAGATTCTAGTCTATATGTCTTCAAAGCCTATGTGCTTTCACCACACCCTGTTGCCTTCCACCATAGAAAACATTTAGAAGGGATTAGCCTGAATTTCAAATCAAAAATTTCAAATGACTCTGTCAATGACTTTCTTTTAAAACTGTTAAGAACTGTCCATGGTAAATGCACACCTTAGAAAGCTGCATGTTTCTTGATATTGTTCTTGTGCTCTCTGTGCAAGAATACAGTAAAAATCCTAGAAGACAATGTAAAAATAATGAATCTCTCTTTCTCTCTGTACACACACACACACACACACACACACAAGACTACACACACACATAAACATATATGAAGCAACCTTGTAAAGTCATTCACCCTATTCTTCCCTGGTCAAGTCACATGATTTCAAAAAATCCCATATACCTCCCTTGGAATAAAAATTTGCTAGAAAAATTGTTCATCATTTATTTTGAGAAATAATTTTAATGGTGGTAATATTTTACATTAATATTACAAGATTAATAAATATTACTTAATAAATTAATTTCTTCTTACTTAAAAATAAATGCATGATAGTTTCAGGTAGCTTCAATTATTAAAAAATAGATCTTTAAAAATAAATAGGCTTTTTCCTAATTTCTAAATTGCATAATTTTCTTATAAAGTGGTGACATTAACGGCCCTTCAAACAAGCTATTCTATTTCCTACGGTGTATTTTTCAACAAGTGATACTACATGAAAAGATACTGGAGTACAAACGTATACAATGATTTTTTAAAGACAATAGTCAGTTTTACCATATCCCCTAACACCAATATAAAACCAAACTTGTACAGTAAAGGTAAATACAACATAAAATAAATGCACTGTATTGCATTAACTGCACGCTGAGATGTGCATATGTCAGTTAAAGACCAAACTCCAGTGAAAGACCAAAGCATAATATGTGGAAAAAAAGAAAAGATACAACAATGGGTTAAAAGGGCAGTTTTCTCCTCTGTTCAAACAGAAACCAAGGATGTTTTTTCCTTGCGTTTTCCTTGTTTCAACTCTAGTTATTGACATTAGCATTTACATTTTACAACAGAACATTAATTTCCAAAAACATCCTAAGACTTCCGGGGCTTAGGTGTGTATCAGTCAGGATAGGCTAGGTTACCCTGCAGTATCGAACAACCTGAAAAGTCTCAGCAGCTTAAAACAATACTTATTTCTCCCCAGGTGCACATCTATTATGGGTCAGCAATGAGCTTTGCTTGCTCATGGAAATCACCAGGAAATTCAAGCCAGAGGCTCCATCCTGACAAACCCAGAGGCAGAACATAACTAACCACGCGGGGGCTCTTCAAGCTTCTGCCCAGAAATGACACACATCATTTCCACTCATATGGGGTTTTGTATTTTTTGTTTTGTTCTTAAATTTTCATTTATTTTAATAGACAAAACATGTTTTGAAATATGTATGTATTTTTGAAATATGTATGCATTTAGAATTGTGAAATGGCCCTGCTTACATATCACTGGCCAAAACAAGTCACATTACCAGGCCTGCCATCAACGAGGGGGCGGATGAATAACTCTTCCCCAGGGAGAGTTACCGAAGGTTTATAAGTGATAGAGTCTTCCACAAGCTTTAGGATTACCTTACAGCTGGGACTATAGTTTACCAAATAGGCTCATCCACATCATCTCACTGGATCTTGATAACATCCATATGATGCCAAGGGCAGGAAGGGTGCGGGCCGGTAGCAACAGCAGGCACTGCAGAATATTTAAGCAGAACTAATCAGTGTTACCTGCTTCTGCTATTCCTGGTCTTCCACATCAGCCAGTCAGTCAGGGAGCAAAGAATAGGACAAAGCCAGACCAATAGTAGAAGGAAAATCACAGCTGCTTCCAAATTGCCCTCACATTTACCAATTTCATCCACCCTGGGTCCTGCCTTTGGAGTGCTCCCCATTCCTCCTGCTCTCTGACATCCCCAGGAATGGAGAGGGAGGCACCAGAGGGGAGATGACTGACAGGACAGGGCCACAGTGAGACATATTGAGACCCACCAGGGGTCATCTGCTCTGAGGTCACAGAGCTATGCTGCAGTGCAGCTGCATCCCTGGATAGTAATAGAAATATTATATAAGAACACAGGGCACCTGCTCCAAGTCAACCCTTGTTGAATAAATAATAATAACACTGTGTAACAGGTAATTGTGAGCATGTGCTTCTTCTTCTTTTTCTTTTCTTTTTTTTTTTTTTTTGAGGGGGAGTCTCGCTCTGTTGCCCAGGCTGAAGTGCAGTGGTGCAATCTCGGCTCACTGAAACCTCCGCCTCCCGGGTTCAAGCGATTCTCTTGCCTCAGCCTCCTGAGTAGCAGGGATTACAGGCGCGCACCACCAGGCCTGGCTAATTTTGTATTTTTAGTAGTGATGGAATTTCATCATGTTGGCCAGGCTGGTCTCAAACTCCTGACCTCAAGTGATCCACCCACCTCGGCCTCCCAAAGTGCTGGGATTACAGGCGTGAGCCACTGCGCCCAGCCAGAGCATGTGCTTCTTAGTTGATAAAACTTAGCCAGGTTCAAGTGTGCTGGGCCTTTTGATCTCCAACAGGGGCCCAACATTACGATGGCTCACCTATTGTTCCCAACCCAGCTGTCAACCCAGCTCTCTGTTTCTGCCACAGTGGTGGGTAAATTCCCCTCGCCATAGTCATCACAGTCACAGCATCCTTCCCTCCTAGAAGAGTCGAAATGCAGACAGTAGTAGTTTGTCAGCTGAGTCTCTCTGTTCCTTCCTGGATGACTGCCGCCATCCTGAAGCTCCAGGTACTGTTCTGCACTCCCTAAGGGTGTAGTAAAAGGAGTCCACAGCACTAGAGTGGGTCCCAGAGCCTCTTACCCGGACCCTCCACCTGTCTGCTCTAGGCAGTGGAGCACAGTGAGTAAGCACACAGGTGCTTACTCAGACAGACCTCAGCTCAAACCTGACTCCATCACTTGCCAGTTGCCTGTCTTTCAACAACTGTTTGCTCTTGCATTAACTCCTTTTTAAAGTGGAAATGAGAATAATAGTAGTTACTGCCCAGGCTTATTGTAAGGTTTAAATGAGTTCTGATGGTAAAGCATTTACCCGCCACTGTGGCAGAAACAGACAGCTGGGTTGGGAACAATAGGTGAGCCATCGTAACCTTGGGCCCCTGTTGGAGACCAAAGGGCCCAATACCTCGAAAGCCCTTTTGTCATCTCTGCTTCCTCCCGGGGGGAGTGAAAGCTAGTGTCTCATGATGCCTGACCTGCAGAAATCACCCAATTATGCTGACTGTCACTATGTTAGTTGTCATGACAATTATAATGTGCTTCTCAGCTGCGTAGAAGACAATACACCTCCCCCTCCTGCCTTGGGCCAGGGCTTCCAGGACCCTACTGTAAAGCTGTTATAGGAAACTGGCTCTTGCACTCTCCCCCTAACCCAGCAGAACAAGGAAGCCACATGCCTTCCCTCCAAGGCCCCAGAAGTCTCTTGTTTTGTTCTCTCAGAAGCAAAAAGTACAATGACTTGAATTCTCCCCACCAGTCCCTTCCATTCCCGAACTTGGGGCTGAAGTGTCTCCTGAACGAAACCCCTACCCCACACTTGTACTTTCTATTTGTCCTTCCATCTTTGCAAACCTTGCTCCTCCAGGGTCACCAAACACTAAACGAGATGCCTGCCATGCACTACAAAAATTAACACTCATTAATCACAGACTATGTTGTAATGTGAATAAAGAAAAACAAAATTAGCTTTAAAATGCTTAGAAAATGACATCCATTAAATTTAGAGGCTCACAAAGTCCAAGGCATCTCAACTCCTAAATTCTTAAGTCCCATTACATTGGTTTCTTCCTCATGGTGTTCTGCCTACTGCCCACGATTCCTATTGAGCAAATGTAGAGCAAATTAATTTGTTTTTCATCTTTTGACAGGTTTCATGGTATTTAGAGGAAAATAAAAGTGTTTTATTGATTCGACAGTGAATCTGAAAGGCTTTCACATCTATCCTCAAGTCAATGAGTGCTCTAAGGGTATAGATCATCAAAAATAAAATCAAGGGCTTAAAATATAAAGAAAGAAAAGGAATAGCTGTCATATCACTGGAGTCCTCTGGAAAGCAAACTTTAATGCTAAAACTGTCAATAAATTGATTGCATAGCATAAAGTTGTGCAAACAGCCCTAGGGTGGGAAGGCATTTGCTGTGTGCAAGGAACAGAAGGAAGGCCCCACACAATCTAGAGCATGGTGGGTGAAGACGTAACAGGTGTGAGATGTCAGAGAATGATGTGGTACATTAAGTTATTAGCCTCACTCTGCCACACACACACACACACACACACACACACACACACACTCTCTCTCTCTCTCTCTCTCTCTCTCTCTCATGTCCTTTGACATGTAACTTTGCAGTGCCACCCATGAAAGAGAGAGTATATTTCCCACCCCTGGACTTTGGGTTTGCCATGAAATTTTCTTTGGTCAATGAGATATTAGTGGATGTGACACAAGAAGTGTGCTCAAATACATAGGTACACCTCTTGTGCTCTGCCGTTGCCTATTGGTGTCTGGTCCCAAGAGGTGAATGAGAGACAAAGGGCAGAATGTCCCCACACCACCCTGCCACATGAAGCCAAGCTGCCCAGTCCACAGAGCCTGCATCAGCCAGTCCCCACCCAACCTGCAGGCATGTGAACAAACCAGCTTCAATTGGCAGAACTGCCCTGGCTGCCTGGCAGCCCCATGAGAAAAAGAGCTGTTTTATACCTGAGTTTTCAGTGCATTTTGTTACTCAGTATTATTGTGCCAATATCTAACCATTACCAATGGTGACACTTTAGATTTTTGACTTGCATCGGATTACGGTGAAATTACTGAAATTAAGAAGTTCCAGCAGAGAAGCAGTTTGGGGAGAACACTAGAGTTCTCTTTTGGCTGTGTTGACTATGAGGTGCTAATCTAACAGACAGTTGGGGGGAATATTCTCTTGTTATCTTGGAATTGCCAGCAAGACTTGTACTGAAAAGAAAAGGTCCTCAGGACCCCACATTCTAAAGATAGTCACCAATGAACCACCAGCATTGTGACCCAAGATGATCCCCACAGGGCTCACTAAGAGAAGCCAGAACTCATCCACCACCTTCCAACTCCCTTCCTCCTACCTGAAGTCATAAGAGAATGACTAGAGGGACTGGGAGGTTGGCCCTGTGGACAGAGCAGTGATGGTGGAGAGACTCTCCTTCTGGGGAGGGGGTGCTTTTCCTAGCTTAAGGCAAGTAAGTGATGGGAGGCTTCAAGAGAAACTCACAATGGAGCAGCATCACTTTGAGCTGCCTTTGCAAGAAGGATACCAATCTTTTGTTCCCTGACTGATTGCTTGCTGCAAGCCTATTAGGAGATACTGGTGGAGCAGAGTGTGGTGAATGAGATCTGAGGACAGCTTGACATCTGCCCCTGAAGTCTCTGGTCTTCTAGAGACTGGTGCCCACTTCTGGTCTAGACTTTTCTTGAGCCAGGTGGTCTTCTGGTATAGCCTGTATCCAAAGGACATAAAGGGGTTGTGGCATCAAGTGCTGAGGGAGAAAATGGGCATCCCCCAACCCTTTCAAGTTCTCTAAGTGCTCAGAGGGTGTGGAGGAGGACAACAGAGGTTCTTTCAGCTCCTTGTGGAGAAGCAGGTAAGTGAACAGAAGGGTGCGAGCCATGGGTTGCCTACTCAGTGAGATACCCAGCTCTCTGAGGGGTATCAGTGACAGGGCAAAGATTAGTGCTGCCAAAGGAAAGACCACATCAGGAGAAGAGGCCAAGGAAGGGTGCTTCCTTCATGAAACCTTTCACTCCTCTATACCTCACCTCTGCCTCTCCCCAAGGAAGAGTGAGCTAGTGTCTCAAGCGAGATCACAACCCCTCTGGACTCAAAGCAGCCAGGACCACAGCTTCAGATTTCATTGGAAGGAAGAGAGAAGCCAAGAGGTAAGAAGCTATATTTAAGGACTGAAGTTTTGGATTGGACTAGATTAAGTTTTAATAACTGAAAATGATTGAATAATTATGGAATTGGGCCAGGATAATGTTAAGGGAGCCACTAACCAGCAAAAGAGTAGGAGTCAAGCCAGCACAACTAAAATCAGTTAAATAAATTAGATAAAACTATTTTGTGTTTGTCTTGATGACGTGAGACTCAACAAACTCCAGTTACACCTACTAGACATTCATATAGAAACACATCAATTTGGGTATATAAATCTAGAGCCCAGAAGGAAGATCAGGAATGGAAAGATAGATTTGGAAATGATGGTTATAGAGACGGACCCTGCTGATGGTTAAAACCATGGGACTAGATAAGAACTTTAGAGACAGTGACAAGCCCTAGAACACTCCACAGTGACACATCAAGCAAGAGTGGAGTCAGCAAATCACAGTGGGAAGCGGGCCTTGAGAGAAGTGAAATACAGCATAATGTGTCCCAGAAGCAAGAGAAGAAAATGTTTTCTGAGGAAGAGAATAGACAACTGTGATGGTATGTGGAGATGGCACCTTTGGAAGGTGATTTGGTCATCAGGGTGGAGCCCTCGCTATGGGATTAGTGCCCGTATCAAAGGACGCATCAGAGCTTGCCTCCTCTCTCTGGTCTCCACCTTGTGAGGACACAGTGAGAAGTTGCCATCTGTAAGCTAGGAAGCAGGCCCTCGCCAGAAACCAATCAGCTGGTGCCTTGCTCTTGGACTTCCACTCTCCAAAACTGTGAGAAATAAGTTTTTGTTGTTTAAGCCATTCAGTCTATGGTATTATAGCAACCCAAATGGACTAAGACAACTGAAGCAAAGACATCGAGATGTCTAGAAATAAGAGAAGAATCTAGAAACTACAATGGGTTTTTTGGTCACTCAGCAGTGACCTGACAGAGGCCACCTTACCAGAGTGGTGGGAGCAGAGGTACAGGTGGACCAAGCTGAGGAGAGACCAAGAGAGGAGGGTGCGGAGACCACCGATGACCCTTTCAGGAAGCTCTGTTGTCAAGAGGAGCAGAGCAACAGAGTGGTAGCTAACGGGCTGGGGATGGGGAGTATGGAAGGTTTTCTTTGCGTCTGTTGAAAAAAATGAAATCTCTTGGGCATATCTGCATGCCGAAGGGAAGGATCTAGGAGAGAGGGAGAGGCTAAACGTGGGACAGAGTCACCACAGCAGCAGGCCACACCCTGTTCTAAGCATTTCCCAGAAACTTACTCCTTTAACCTTCACAACAACTCTGTGAAGGAGATAGCATTAACTCCAGATTTTACAGATGGGACAACTGAGGCATGGAGAAATTACATAATTTTCCTAAACTCATCAACTTGCATTGGCTGCCAAGGCAAACTACTACAGAAGCCGTGTCCCCAACAAATGACAGAGGATGGGACCAGGGCATGTGAGGAGAGGCTGGCATTTGACAGGCTCAGGGACACCTCCTCCACAGACAGGAATGGATGGAGACTATGGTTACAGATGGAGGGAAGTTATGTAATGGAGCCATGATGGAATGAAGAGGGGCTCCTGCTTTCTTACTTGTTTTTACTAAGCACTGTATAAGGCAAGACCATCAGATCAAAACCAAGGGGAGAGAATTTAGGAGAGAAGAAAAGAAGTGAAATCGTCACTTCAGAGAATGAGAATACTAACATATTAAGGAAATAAAGTACAATGATGGTGCATGGCTATACACCACGCAGACAGACTAGCTAACACGTTTGAGAGGTATTTCCTCCATATTATTCAGCTGTTCAGGTTCCCAGTTTATACAGGTTTGAGAGAGAGAGAGAGGAGGGAGAGAGGAAGAGGATAAGGATATTTGTAGAAGTATGGTTATAGTGAAAAACCAAGGGATCTAAGTTGGATATGGAGAGAACCAACCACAGGAGCAGAAAGCATGACAGTAAAGAAACAGAGAGAGAGAGGTGGGTCCATGGATGAGAGGTCCCAATGGAACTGAGGCACTGTTGGAATGGGAGAACCAGAGCACACAGGCTGGAGGCATAGAAGAGCCTGGTTGGGAGATGAATGCTACAGTAGAGATTTTGGGAATAGTCCAGTTATTATAAAGATCAACATTAGACCATGGGAATGGTGGGTGAGGTAGGGAGAACCAATCCAGGATCAGAGAGACTTGGGTGCTGGGTGCAAATCACCAAGAATGAAGACAGAGAGTAGTGACAGGAAGACAGTGAAGCAGTCTGTGGTCAGCAGTGAATGAGGAGGAACCAGGAGGTTGTAGTAACTGGAAGGGGGAAAGGGGGAGGGGTGGGAAAGTCAGAGGCCATGAGATTCAAAGGAGCTGGGTGTCTAAAGGAAGAAAGAGGAGATAAGGTTGGGAAGCAGCAGTAGGGTGCTAGGAGGACACTCACCCCATCCCCAGGGCTGCAGTACTTGTAGTGTGAGAAATCGCAATAATAAACTGCATCCATGGGAGAGGGCTGTGGAGGAGATGGTGTCTGTAGGAAGCACCCCAGTTTCAATTAGGTCCAGGTGGGAAAGATGTTCAGCACAGCAGTTGAGGAGACTTGAGGATGCAGGAGAGTTTGCTGTGACCGACCTTAAGTTCCAAAGGGCATGTGGAAGAAGGTAGAGGTTGGGGAGGAACAGAAACTGGGTCAGATGAGCAGAAGCACAGAATGATAACAGAGGGTATGAACAATATGGAAGCCCTTCCAGTGGACTGTGAGGCGTGATGGGATTCATTCTCATAAGCCCCTGGTGTCTAGTCCAAGCTGAACAGTATGGGGCCACTGGGCAACAGTCCTCCCCTGCTGACCTCAGAGTGTGGTGCCCTAAGTAGGAACTCTGGGTGTGAGGGCCTTTTTTAGTTGTCTGTAGTTCAAAGAGGCCTGCAATGAAGGCACAACAGCAGGGAGGAAGAATTAGAAAATTAATTAGTCACAGTTCTGTTTCTACTGTGCAACAAAGAATAATCATTTACCAGCTTAAGTAGGACAGTGATTAAAGGTGTTAGTTATTGGAAAGTATTGAATTGGTCTGGTTCTTGCTATGAATTCCAAGTATGATTTGAAAATGAACTTACGCCCTCAACTACACTCAAACACTAGTCACTTGAATTAATTCAGAATTAAAACACACAAATGATTTACTTGGATGGAATAAGCATAAGCTAGCTTCTTAAGGGTTCTTTCCTGCTGTGAACATTGACTAGAGTCCTTAGAACAGAAAGTATTCAGACTTGATTCTACTGAAAATTGCAAAATGACATTGGTGGGCATTCAGTTGTTACTTATGACATACCTTGTAATAAATTGCCCTGTTTATAAATTTAATATTTCATAATCCAAATGTCCATGAATGGATGACTAGTTGATGAAATTATAATATGTCTAGATAACATACCATATAATATACTTGTTTAAAATGAGGTATACACAATGAGATACCATCTCACACTTGTCAGAATGGCTATTATTAAAAGTCAAAAAATAACATGCTGGTGAGATTGCAGAGAAAAGGGAATGCTTATACACTGCTGGTGGGAGGGTAAACTAGTTCAACCATTATGGAAAGCAATGTAGTGATTCCTCAAAGAACTAAAAATAGCAGTATCATTTGACCCAGTAATCCCACTACTGGGTATATACCCGAAGGCATATAAATCATTCTACCAGAAAGACACATGCACACATACGTTCAATGCAGCACTGTTCACAACAGCAAAGCTCTAAATGCTCATGAACAGTAGACTGGATAAAGAAAATGTGGTACATATACACTGTGGAATACTATACAGTCATAAAAAAAGAATGAGATCATGTCCTCTTCAGGAACATGGATGAAGCTGGAGGCCGTTATCCTTAGCAAACTAACACGGGAACAGAAAACCAAATACTGCATGTTCTCACTTATAAGTGGGCGCTAAATAGAACTTACAGACACAAAAAGGGGAACATTGGGACCTTCTTGAGGTAGGAGGTTGGGAAGAGAGAGAGGATCAGAAAGAAAAAGAAACTGTCAGGTACTACGCTTAGTACCCAGGTGATGAAATAATCTGTACACCAGACCTCTGAGTCATGAGTTTAACTATATATCAAACCTGCACATGTACCCCTGAACCTAAAAGCTAAACTATTTTTAAAAATTTAAAACATAAAAATGAGGTATATCTATATATACTAATGAGGTATTACTAAGTGAAGAGAGAGAGAGACAGTATGGGAGTACACACTGGGGGAGAGGGGGAGAGAGAGAGAGAGAAAGAGAGAGAGAAAGATTAGATAGATGATAGATAGATAGATAGATAGATAGATAGATAGATAGATAGATAGACAGAGATCTTTTTTTTTTCAGGGGTTACTTCTCCATGGTAAAAATATTGAGTGTTTTATTTTTAAGTTTCTTCAGTCTTTATATTTTTTACAGTGTCCAGTTGTAGCACAGAGAAACAGGAGATAAATAAATAAGGTTTGTATTTATCATGGCCAGCAGAGAATCTCAAAGCTTAACCAAAAGTTTGTATTGTTCCTTGGATGAATCCTGTTTGTTATTTAAGCTTGTCTGAAAACTCGCTATTGCATGGATTTTTTGTGCTTCCCTTGTGCCTAACATTTCCTGATTCTCAGTTAAAACTACATTTGCAGCAGAGTGTCCTGTGTCCAAACCAGACTGTGGTTTGCAGCAGTGGTGACCGAGTAATCCCTGTAGAAATCAATCAGTGTGAGTTGATCATCAAGATGGCTCATGTCTGACTGAAGAAGGAGATGCATTTCTTTCCTGGGGTGAGCAGGGATGCTCAGAAGAGGGATGACAGGAGATGAATGGGATGGGATGGAGTCTGTGCCCTTCACAGTCCAAGGCTCTGGTTCTGAATCATAATGGAGAGAAGGTTTAACCATATAACTGAAGGGCATGGAGAAGTCTACTCTATCCTGCAACAGACCAAAAGACCACCATGTAGAACTGACATTGTTCCCGGAGGCATTCTCCTGGCAGCCAAAGGAGCTTAGCGAGGAGACGAGCAGAAATTTTGAGTGGACAAGCTTCTAAATACAAGCAAACACTACCTTAGGGATGCCTGAAATAAGAAGGGAGATTCCAGGGAGGGAATGGGGAGACAACAGCTACCATGGTTTGGGCATCAATGTTAACACAGCTGCATCTGTGGTGAAGGCATGAGGGAGGCTATGTGGGGTTCACTATCAAACAGGGTTATCAGGAATTAGTGAGCCTGTCCAAGAGTATGGGTCCATATCTCTTTTCTTGCTGGGAGATTCCATTACATATTCCTCATGTCCATATTTCTGGCCCCTTAAAAAACAGTAAACTTAAAAAATCGTTTACTGTATTTATAGGACTACATTCCGATTTAGGTCAGAACTTCTTTAACCAATCCTGAAGGCTGTCAAAATACTTGGTTTCTCTTTTTACATTCAAATTACTCCATGCTAATGTCAGAAAAACTCATGGAATCTTCAATTTATCTTTGAGTTTTGATCTAATTTTATGTGAAAAATTTCCACTTGATAGTGCGATTTTTAAAAACTGTCCTCTTTGGGCATTTAATCAAACACTGATCACATAAGGGCTCATTTTTTCAAAGAACAGACCCATGAACTGAGAATCCTTGCAAATGTACTTGATTTTAAGTGAAATGGCTGGCCATTCTGAAATAAGAATAGTAGGGTTTTTAAAAAACAGAGGTTTAATGACATTTGTCACATGCCTGCATTCAAGTACTAGGCTGTAACTTTTAGCAAAACTAAGTCTTTAAGAATGTGCCATAAGCTCTACTGGAAAGAATATAAATAATGGAAGCCGGAGCCTAGAAAATGGCAAGCTGGCTCAGCCTCCTGTAGCATCATTCATTAGATCCAACTCCAAAAGCTAGAAGTCATAAAAAATGCATGCAGGATTTCTTTTTAAGCATTAACACACCACTACTTTAAATGTTGTTTCTGACTGAGAAATTCCTCTCTGCAGGTACTTTTTACCCCTGTAACCTCAGCAAACTGCCAGGGCCTCAGGAGACTAAACAAACGGCCAACTTAAAAATTCATTATAGTATCTGCTCCCTTTCCAAGACATAAAATATACTCTGTAATATTTGCTCTTCTGAATCCTGAGACTTTAATCTTCAAGGCTTCGTGTGCTTGTATGACACCATCTCTTGTCCATTATTTTTAAAAACACATCATATCTGAAAGTTTTAAAACGAGAAGTGAAAATGCCGCTAGTCAGCATATTAATTTCCCTGAAATAAGCAATATCAGTAGTGATGACAAAAGTTACATCAATGCACCAGATTCCTGGGAAGGAAGTGTGAAATGCTAAACTACATAGTTCGCAGTTACCAACCAATGGTAGCAAATGGATGATAAAATCCAGGGGCATGAACTCACTGTTAGAAGTCCATGAACAGAAGAAATTCAATTTCATACAGCTACGAAGATAACATAAAATTATCAAGTATATAATATAAAAGTGTGATGGTCAGGCACCATTTTGAAAACATAAAGACTAGCCATCTGGGCAAAGGCCCAGACTTAGTACAGATAAAGCAAGTGGCTGCTTACCTTATCACATCTCAAAGACTTCTAAAAAGGGCCCATGAACTCAAGATGGCTATAGCTCAAGTAGGCGTAGGCAAGACTTCTGCACTGCAGAATGGGCACATAGAAAAAGAAGGAAACGAGCAACCAGAATGAAGGAAACTGACCCAGCCAAAGAGCAAAGAGGAATTCCTGAGAAAGTGATAAAAGAGTGAAAAATAGAGGTTATTGACATTATTTCATTTTAAAATAATTCCTTAGGGTGTAGGTCATGATTAAGAACCAGCTTTTCTTTCTCAGAAAACTTGGGGCTGAATTCCTAAGTGAATTCAGTTCAAAGTATTTGTCTAAAATTTAGTCTGTGGCAAATATAGTAGAAATGGGTTAAATGAATTAAAGAATTGAAAGGACTAACAAAAAATCATAGATTATTTATGGATAATGTTTCTGTTCTAAAGAAATATAGCACTTTTTTGAACGCAGTAAGAGAACAGAGGCAAAGAGAACAATTTGATTAGACAGAGTTACAAGAAAAGCCCCCAAAACTCCAAGAGTTTAGCCAATAATCATAACCCATTATGAATTAAATCAGAAATAAGCAAAGTCACTTCAAAGGGATGGAATGGCTAATTTAAGAGTATGATCTGACTATAACTTCACCTTGATGATATTGGTATATGTCATGAAAGAATGTGTCACTCAGAAGAGCAATCAGTCTCAAAACACAGGACATGGGGACTTAGAGTTAGCAATCAGTTCCCAGCACTGGTGAGACACTGAATTTGGAAATACAGTGGCTTCACTCTCGAAGTGCTCTTAGCTACAGGGCTTAGATTTCTACCAGGTAGCCCCTTGGCCTGGATAAAAGATCCCTTAAAACCACTTACATAACTTTACTTCAATTCTGTCTTCACTTAGCAAGCTCCCAACTGTTAATTCAACCTCTCAGTCACCCTGATACTGGAAGGGTTCATTAGATGATAAAAATGATAATTTTAGTAACTGGAAAGAGATATTCTCCATAAAAATTAATAAATCAACAATCAGATTTATACACCATTTGCTCATAAGTTAATATGAACCTGTCTTCTCCTCTTGTCTCAGGTAGCATCCTGTGAGACACTGACACAGAAACTTCCAGAATTGCAAATTTAATATCAGACCCAGATGATGGGAATTCCACCACCCCATGAGTCAGCTTGGCTGCCAGTTAGCTAGCCCCCTTAAGTGGCTCTACCCCTTCATGTTATTAAAAAAAAAAGAAACATATGGTGGAGCACAGTGGCTCACATCTGTAATCCCAGCACTTTGGGAGGTGGAGGCGGGCAGATCACTAGAGGTCAGGAGTTTGAGACCAGCCTGGCCAACATGGTGATACTCTGTCTCTACTAAAAATACAAAAAATTAAGTGGGTGTGGTGGCGCTTACCTGCAGTCATAGCCACTCCGGGGGCTGAGGTATAAGAATTGCTTGGACCTGGGAGGCAGAGGTTGCAGTGAGCTGAGATTTCGCCATTGTACTCCAACCTGGGTGACAGAGCAATACTCTGCCTCAAAAAAAAAAAAAAAAGAAAGAAACGTGTAAGAATACATGATTCACTTCATATCCTGTGAATTTAGTACTAGATGATTACATGAGTCAGAACTCAACTATGTACATCAATAACTAGTATTAAGTTCGTTAGATTGTGCAAGGAGAGATACTATATCTTTTTCTATTGTGGGCCATCACGCAGTGTCTGACATTTTAGGAACACATGAAGTATTTTTCAAATAAAAAAAATTTTAAGAAAGGAAAGGAGATGAAGCAAAAATAATCCAGTTTCTTTCCAGAAGATTAAGCTACTGATGAGACATGATGACTTTCATATGATTTACATCAAGTGGTTTCCTTCCTTTTGAGGAGCTATTCAAAAAACTTTTGGAGGATAGAGAGAACTATGAAAATAAGTCAATCATATAATTGGACTGTTCCTTATGGTACAAGGGTGGGAAGATGTAAGTTGGTCCTGCTTCAATATAAACATAAATTAAGGTTATCTTAAGATTATTTCCTGTTTATATTTACTATCCTGCTTGAAGAAAAGAGATAACTGAAAGTCCACTGTGTTTGTCTATTATATGACTCAGGTATACACAGTCTACAGAGCTAAGTTTCAACAAAAAAATATAATGTTGAAGAAAGAGAGACTAATAACCCACAAAAAGGTGATAAACAGCTATGCCGATGTTGTCCTTATGCTCTCTGAGGGAAGAGATGAGATAAGCCATAGTAGATCAATCAGGACATTGAAACCCTTGTTATGGAGACTCAGCAAGCCTTTTGCACACACTATAGACACTGCTGCGTCATCTTGAATTATGCAGTGTGTAAGTATTAAGAGCTGCCTAACATCTAAGCTAGTCCTATGCTGTTATAAGGTCAGAGATCAGGGTCCGAAAAACGGACTTATTAAAATTTAGTGAGGACATCATGCTAAGTGAAATAAGCCCATCACAAAAGGACAAACCCTGTATGATTCCTCTTATATGATGTACTTAGAGTAGTCAAATTCATAGAGAAAGAAAGCAGAATAGAGGTTACCGGGGGTTTGGGGAAAGGAAAATGGGAGGTTAATGGGTACAGATGTCATTTGGAATGACAAGTTCTGGAGATGGATGGTGTTGATGGCTGCACAATATGAATGTACTTAATACCACTGAACTGTATACTTAAAATGGTTTAAATGGTCAATTTTATGTTGTGTATATTTTACCACAATAAAAAAAATCTAGGCCGGGCACAGTGGCTCACGCCTGTAATCCCAGCACTTTGGGAGGCCAAGGCAGGTGGATCACGAGGTCAGGAGTTCAAGACCAGCCTGGCCAACATGGTGAAACCCCGTCTCTACAAAAAATACAAAAAAATTAGCCGAGCATGGGAGCGGGCACCTGTAATCCCAGCTACACTCCAAGCTGCACTCCAGCTTGGCAACAGAATGAGACTCCATCTCAAAATAAATAAATATATTTATATATTCAAAATAAATAAATATATTTATATATTCAAAATAAATAAATATATTTTATATATCTAAAATAAATAAATATATTTATTTATATATCTAAAATAAATGAATATATTTATTGATATATCTAAAATAAATAAATATATTTATTTATATATCTAAAATAAATAAATATACTTATTTATATATTTAAAATAAATAAATAAATATATATATAGTGAGTAAAAAAATATTGTGAAGGCACAATTTGAATGGGGTGAAATCAGCCACCCAGATGCAGCAACCTCTTCTTCCCACTCGGACGCCTGGCATATTAAAATGCTCTGAGAATTAGTCTTCCATTATGACCCTTAAGCATAGTTAGAATGTCCCTCTCTTACTGGAAATAAATGATTCTAAGAACTCAAGCATCTGCCGCTAATAGCCATTGCCTTCATTTACGGAGGGCAAGTTTTGCGCTAGTACAGATCCCTTTACATAAGCCATTTCTTTGGAATGAGATTCCACACCCTTGTGTTCTTGCCCTGGCTTGACTCTTCAGCCTCACTTTTCTCCAGCTCTATGTCCAGTTGCTGCATTTCCCTAGAATGTACCACAACACAATCTTTTGCCCCTCCAGCTCTATACACATAGACACACACACACACACACACACACACACACACACACACACACACGGCTTTTCTTGTATATGTGGTTCCCTCCTCCTTTCATTTAGCCAACTCTGGTGCATCCGGCTGACTTCAGTTCAAGACTTCAGCTTCCTTTGATAAACATCCTGATCACCACAGGAACCACTGTTCCTCAGACCTGGCTCCACGTTAGAATCACCTGGGGCAGCTGAAAAATTACTGACCCCTGGCTACACTTCCAGAAATTTATTTAACTGGTCTGTGACCAGGGCATTGTTCGTTTGTTTACAAAACAAAACAAAAATGAAAAACGTCTCTATGAGATCTTATTCAACAATGGAGGCAGAGAACCACTGGCCTAAAATGGGGTATTTTCCCCCTCACCACCTGATGCCTCTCATGCTTCTCCCTATCTTAGCCCACATCTTATTTTATTAAAATCACTTGTTAGTTTAGGCCTCCCCTTTGAAGCTCAAGTTTACCATCATATTCACAGGGCCTAGAACAGCACCCAGCACACTGTAAGGGCTCAACTACTGTGAACAAATGTGAACCAGAAAGAGCCAGTCCTGCAAGATGGATTCCAAATAGCTAACTGGGCCTAAATTTAAAACAGAGCCAAGCAGCCACTTGCTGACTAAAGGTCACACACACACTTTGAGCTCCCTGAAAACCCACACCTCTGCTCAACTTTGGGACTTTCAGAGCTCACCTGAACCAACCAAACAGGGCTCAGCTGTATCAGCCAATCAGAACTAAGAGCATTTTAACCCTTAATTTGCATAAATGGATCTGATTGAGAACCTGAGCAGGAACTTTTGCTATAAAATCCAAACCCTCCCTTTGTTCTCTGGAACACACCTTTGTTTTACACCAGGCTGTTACACCAGGCTGTGTCACCCCAGTTTGCACTGGAATGAAGTCTCTTTCCTCCAAATTCATTTTCAAATAACTTTTGTTTACATTACCTTGAGTTGCTTTCTTGAATTAATTTTGTACCCACTAAATGAGGCTCAGAGAGGCTAAATCATTTACCCAAAGTCACACAACAATTGAACAGCAGAGTAAGGACTAGAATTTAGCTCTCTCTGACTACAAAACTCTGTTTACTACACCACACTGCTTTCTGGCTTCTTGAATAAGTTGCTCGTAATGAAATGAGTTATTCCTACTGAACAAGTTCAAAATAAAGATGAAACCAGAAGTGTGCTGTGAATAACTGGATGACACACATCCAAAGATCACTCAATTTCCTAAGTACTCAGGGACAAGCTTTTGTAAAATCTGGACCTCAGATGAACAATCAGCAACATACTCCCGAACAGGCTTAATCACCACTCTCAGAGGGACATTTATTTCTCAGTGCTTAGAACTCTTTTTTCTAGTACTCTAGATCCATTAAAACCTAAAATGGTTTGGATGTATCAAGTTTCTGAGTAAACAACAACAAACAAAACAAAACCAGGAAGAGAAAATTGTGAATTGTAACGGCCACTGTAACTTTCTTAGGCAACCACACCAGTACTGCTGACAGCCACTCACTCAATTTTAGATAGGACCTGTTATGCATGTGTTCAAAATACAAAACTAGGACTTCAAGTTTCCTGTGGCCACTCAGTCTCTGCCACAGTATGTGTTTTCCCACAAAGGCAGACACTGCTGAAACTGCCCCACTGCCTGTCTACAGCAGAGCGCACACCATGGCTCTAGATGCACCAGCATGAAGCTGCTTTCCAAAATACAGGCAGTTGTTGACATCTGAGGTTTGCTAATGTCCTGAGATGAACTTCCACCGCTGAGGTTTCCCTGACTGCTCAGGAGAGGAGCTTGGCTGCCAAGTGCCAGATGGCATAGAAGTGCCAACTGCTTACTTCTCAGTACCCAACCCCAGCTTTTATTATGGAAAATTTTAAAGCATATACAATAGTAAGTAAACGCTTCTACCCACTATGGAACCAGATAGTAAGCATAGAGTGTACGAGTCTTTGATTAAGACGGTGAGTCAGGGCCAGGTGGCTCAGGCCTGTAATACCAGCACTTTGGGAGGCCAAAGTGGGCAGATCCCTTGAGCCCAGAGGTTCAAGACCAGCCTGGGCAACATGGTGAAACCCCATCTCTACAAAAAATACAAAAATTAGTCGATTGTAGTGGCATGCGCCTGTAGTCCCAGCTACTTGGGAGGCTGAGGTGGGAGGATCGCTTGAGTGTGGGAGATACAGGCTGCAGTGAGCCGTGACTGTGCCACTGCACTTCAGCCAGGGTGTTAGAGTGAGACCTTGTCTCAATTAAAATAATAATAATAATAATATGGTGAATCAGGCTACAATCCTAGGTTTGCACAGTGTTCTAGTGGCATATTTGTCAGATGGGCCACTTGGCACTTGGCACAAATGAATAAATATACCTTATTTTATTTTATTTTATTTTATTTATTTTATTTTATTATCCTGGAAGTCTCACAACCATTTCTCCAAGCTTGCCGGTGTAATCTTTTGGAACTTTATGGGGAGGCCTATAGCTTTCATTGCATCACTCACTGGGAATAACTTAACAGACAGAAAATCATAGTGGTTACAAGTAGAAGCTTTGGTCAGGTACTCTGGGTGTACCCTGGGTGAGTCCCAGTTCCACTACTTATTAATCTTGTGAACCTTGAACAATTTGTTTTAACATCTCTTAGCTTCCTTTCCTTCATCTATGAAAGGTAAAAAGAAAAGTAGCTAATAGGGTTATTGAGAGAATTAAATGAGATAATACAAGTAAAATACTTAGAACAATGCAGTTTGGCTTTTTTAAAATAAGTGTTCCATAAATGGCAGTGGTGGATACTGTGAGTTACAGCTGTGTTCATTCCTATAATCTTTTCCTACTTGGTCTTGGTTTTATTAAAGGCCTCCGCCCTAGCAGCCGTTCCCTGGGGTCCCATGGTGTCTCATGACCATAGCCACTTCACATACATTTCTCGCTGTAATGTTCAAAGAGCCTACAGATGGCTGAGTGAGTTGTATAATCAAAGTAGCTCTGATGTCAGGGGATGGTGAAGTCACTCTGGCCTGAATATATGGAACGCTTGGTGCAGGAGATGAAACTTTTAAAGTTAATTTAATTTAATTTAATTATATTTTACCCCAATCCCTAGTATTTGTTGGATTCATTAAAAATACACATAATACAATGGTGAAAATAAACAGGTTAGAGTCAGAGAGAGGGGAGAATACAGACAGGGAAATAGAAAGCTAGCTATAGTATTTCACCAAACTGTGTCCCAGGAAATCTTAGGCTTGATGTGTGCAAATCAGGACGTAAATATCCTCTTACCAAAGCAAAGAAGGAAAATATAATCAATTGCAAAACTCATATATGTCAATATATATCTCATATGCCAGGCACTGTTGTAAACATTTCATCTATACTAGCTCACTTAATGGTCACTGTTAACACTCTATCAATTGGTGTTGTTTTTGCTGTTTTTATGGATGGGAAACTGAGGCTCAGAAGGTGAAATAAGTGGCCCCGTGTTCACTGTGGCTGCACTGAAATTTGAACCCTGGTAGCCTGGGTTCAAGACCCATGCTTTTAAGGCCTGGACAATACTGTTCTGATAGACAATGTGGCATAGAAAATAGCAAACAAGCAGTGTAGAGAAAGCATTTGTTATCACTGAGATCTGAGTCCCCAAAAAGACAAAACAGTTAACAAAGCATACTAGTTTCCAGATTTGAAGATTTCCCAGATCAATTAAAATATTTTTTAAATGGTGGGGGATAGAGGGATATTATGTACAATTGGCAACCTCTTTTTTGTTTGTACGTGCCAAGTAAAAGCATTAAAATAACTACCAGGGTTGGGAAAACTGGCTAGCCATATGCAGAAAACTGAACAGAAAACCAAACACTGCATGTTCTCATTCATAAGTGGGAATTGAACAACGAGAACACATGGATACAGGGAGGGGAACATCATACACAGGGGCCTGTCGGGAGGTGGGGGGCTAGGAGAGGGAGAGCATTAAGACAAATACCTAATGTAGATGACAGGTTGATGGGTGCAGCAAACCACCATGGCACATGTATACCTATGTAACAAACCTGCACGTTCTGCATACGTATCCCAGAACTTAAAGTACAAAAAAAAAAAAAAAAAAAAAGAAAAGAAAAAAAAAAGAAAGAAAGAAAAGCTACCAGGAGCATCAACATAGCTCCTCACAAAATAAATGACCTTGACTAGGCTTGGTGACTCATGCCTATAATCCCAGCACCTGGGGAGGCCGAGATGGGTGGATCACCTGAGGTCATGAGTTCGAGACCAGCCTGGCCAACATGGTGAAACCCGGCATCTACTGAAAATACAAAAAAATCAGCTGGGCATGGTGATGGGTGCCTATAATCCCACCTACTCAGGAGGCTGAGGCAGAAGAATCACTTGAACACGGGAGGTGGAGGTTGCCGTGAGCCAAGATTGTGCCATTACACTCCAGCCTGGGCAACAGAGGGAGACTCTGTCTCAAAGAACATAAATAAATAATTAAATAAATAAATAAATTTAGGCACTGAAATATATATATACACACACATACATACTATATATATATACACATATATATATACACACATATATATACACATATATATATACACATATATATGCACACACATATACACACACACACAAAGAGCATACTCTAAAAACTAAAGGACCTTGCTTTAAAAATGTGAATAAATTCAGCTTTGTGAAAAATATACACATACACTGTCCATATCATTCTCATTTTACCTGTTTGGTGAAGACCAATTGGAGAAACTCAGTGATGCATTTGAGAATCGCTGACAGTCTCCCCCCGGATTACCTCTGTGACCTCAGAACACCAAGGGCCTACGGCAGAACTGAGGGCTCCATTCTTCTGGTTGGTCTCAAAATTAGGTTCTTAAGAACCAGATGATGTGATCAGATCAGAAAACACAGAAGGTCTGCGAAGAGCAGCCTGAGAGGAAGCCCATGGTTCGTGATTATCATACAAGGTGTACACGGTACTCAAAATATGAGCACATCCCTGCCGTGGCTGAGATACGCCACAGTGACACTTAGTGTGAGGACATCATTTCAGTCTTGAATGAAAGCTATGACTGTTACTTTTAAAAGGATATGAAATGCAAAACGAAAATATAAGATTAACCCTAGGAACATTATTAGATTTTCCTGATGCTAACAGATTGGCAGCATTTTTTTTCTATTTTGTTTGGTAAAAAATTTGAGTTGCTTATAAATTTATTCTAAAACTCACTGGACACTTTCAGAGGCTGAAGCGAGCAGCCCCAGTGTTTAGGGAGTTGTATTTACAATACCTACCTACTGTTCCTCTATTTCCATTAGAATGCAATTATCCTGCTTGGGGAAAAATAAAGGTCACTGGGTTAATGGAGCTCACCTTTCTTTTTTAGTCCATAAATAATAAATCAAATATAATATTTAAAAAGAAAACCACATCCTATATATCACTGTATTTCTGATGTTTTTTTCATAGGACATTTGAGTATATGGTGCTTACTCTGGCCATAATAGTTGCAGTCCAGCAAGTTCTTACAGCACTGGTTCAGTAAAGAAGAATATAGAATGCATCTATTAAGTTGATATTCATAGATACTAAAATGTTCCAGAAATTTCTCATGATACTTTCAAATCAGATTACTGTACATTCTACTCTGAATTTGAGGAGCATGTCACAGAATGATTTACATACAGAAAAACTCATGAACTTTATCTGATAAGTATTGACAAAAGTATCCATTTGAAAAATTCAAATCATTATAGATTCAAACACATTCTGGGCTTCCATAATGGCCTACTGAGAGTAGAGAGTAGACAGTACTTATGACCACACTAATACTAATAAATATCTCTAGGCAAGATTCTGTTGCTCCTAGGTTCCCTAATGAAAAACACAAAGACTTTCCTCCCAGTTAAATAGCTGAATAGGGCTCTCGGCCCAAAGAAGTCTAATCAATGCTTTCACTTCAGTTTCCCAAGGGATCAACTAAGCAATCCCTCCCGTACCTGGCACATCAAGATTTATAAGGCAGAGGAGGAATGCATGGCCTAAATAGCTTCAGAAAGCCATTTGTCATGAGTAATAAAAAAAACACCTTAGAGTAGCTGCTGTTAGATCACCATTACCCTCAAACTAAGGCTGCATGTCTCACGAGATTTATCTGATAAATATTTTTAAATAAAAAGGAATTATAGTACACTCCTGAGCCTGCTATAAAAATTGTTAAACACTTGTAATTACTCCCCAAAAATAATAAAAATGAAAAACTCTGCTTTCCACTTGACACAGGCTTGTGCAACAAAAACCACTGTGATTGTCAAACAACAGAGTCACACACAGCTCCTGCTTCATTAAGTGTTCCAGCAGCATCATAGCATGGCCCTGGGAAGAGGTATTTTAACTTTAAATTATAAACCTACCAATGAACCAGTCAACCATTTTCCTAAACAACACAGCACTTATAGTCACTTGACAATTTTTTTTAATTTGATGAACATGTTTGCCATCAACAGCGTCGTTATTCTTTATTATAATTAACAACAACAACTAATAGTAATAATACTATTTGTTCAGTTTTGTTCTTCCAGGTACTAATCAAACAGATTTACATGGATTATCCTGAAAACATCTTATGGTCTGTGGCAATCTGTTGTCAAACTAAGGTTACTGATGTACCAGCACAAAGCATCAAGATCTAACACTATGCCATAGACAAATTTTTTGTTAGTATTCATTCTCAATGTAAATATTTTCGGCTTTGGCATTTATCAAGGTTTCCCAAAAAGGTTTTCTTAAAATAGTAGATGTTTTTAGGACTATGATCAGATATTTACCTCTTTACTTATTACCAGAAGTTTTACATCTGTTTCACATAAAATTGAAGTAGGTAGATTGGCATTAATTGAAAGGCAGTTTTCCTGAAAAATAAAAACAAATGCCTCTCTTCTAGAATTATTTCAGCTCTGACATTATTCTTATAATAAACTCTGGGAAACTGGAATTATAAGTATGCATTATTTTAAGCAAATAATTTTTAAAAAATAAATCTTGAGCTTACAGAATTAAGAAATATGAACTGTTTGGACTTTACTTTCAAATAATTCATCAGCCTTGGCAGAACTATTTTCGGCAAACTATTGCACTAAAACAGAATGTCAGGTTGAATGATTCTTTGCTATGGAATGCCTCATGTGTTAAAACAGAAGCATGATCTGTAAGAATACATAATGCTGTGTCCTACCTACATTCAGCACTGTTACTGAGGAAAGGGGGTGCTTTGTTCTGAAGATGACAAGCCTGAAGGGAGAAGCTGACAGAGATCCATGATGCTCAGTGAGGGGGGATAGTGTTAGTGTGACCGTACACAAAATTATAACACTTTTTGTGATTACAAAATTGTTGGGAGGCTGAGGCAGGAGGATTACTTTAGGTCAGGAGTTCGAGACCAGCCCAGGTGGCACACCGAAACCCCATCTCTATAAAACAATTTTTTTAAATAGAGGGTGCGGTGGCTCACGCCTGTAATCCCAGCACTTTGGGAGGTCCAGGCAGGCTGATCACCTGAG
The DNA here is from genome assembly GCF_000001405.40 of Homo sapiens. Lineage (NCBI taxonomy): Eukaryota > Metazoa > Chordata > Mammalia > Primates > Hominidae > Homo > Homo sapiens. The sequence goes on from NT_187541.1 coordinate 90,777, forward strand.
GTCAGGAGTTCAAGACCAGCCTGGCCAACATGATAAAACCCCGTCTCTACTAAAAATACAAAAATTAGTGGTATGGTGGCACGTGCCTGTAATCCCCGCTACTCGGGAGGCTGAGGCTGGAAAATTGCTTGAACCCGGGAGGCAGAGGTTGCAGTGAGCCAAGATTGCACCACTGCACTCCAGCCTGGGTGACAGAGCAAGACTCTGTCTCAAAAATCAAACAAACAAACAAACAAAATCCAAGCATGGTGGCATATGCCTGTAGTCCGCTATTTGGGAAGCTGAGGTGGGAAGATTGCTTGATTCCAGGAGTGGAAGGCTGCAGTAAGCTATGATTATACCATGCACTCCAGCCTGGGAAACACAGCAAGACCCTGTCTCTAAAAAAAAATAAAAAATAAATAAATAAAATTGAAAAAGATGTGGCAATAAAGTCTCAAGGTAGGGGTGTCTTAGAGAAAGGAGCATGCTGTGACCTCAAAATTAAAGTTGACAAACACCAATCCAGATGATCTCCAAGTTCCTTTCCTTTAGTTGGAAAACCAATGGCTTGATTTGGCCTCACACAATTGAGGCAGCACAGTGGAGTGAACGAGCAGTAAAATCAGTATTCGGCTCTTATTTCTGCCACTCATCAGCTGTGTAAACAGGAGCGATTTGGTTAACTGCTATGGTTCTCCATTTATGAAGGAGTAAAGTCAAAAGGTTTGTTTAGCTAACCGCTGTGGCTCCATCTCATACTAACAATTGCTGATCCTGGGCAGAACCTTGGAGTCCACAGAGGATCAGAAAGTCCTAAGGGGGCCTCCTGAGCGCTTCCAGCACTATAATGTCTGCCCTGTCACAGGCTGGCCAGCAGTCTCGAGTAGCTGGGATTACAGACACACGCCACCACACCCGGCTAATTTTTGTATTTTTAGTGGAGATGGGGGTTTCCTCATGTTGGCCAGGCTGGTCTCGAACTCCTGACCTCAGGTGATCCGCCTGCCTTGGCCTCCCAAAGTTCTGGGATTACAGGCATGAGCCACTGCACCCGGCTGGGTTTGATTTTTTTTTTTTTTTTTGATTGCTGGAAATACATGATTTGTTTTCTCCTTTGCCCTTCACATTGAATTTGTTACCAATAAAATATCTGGAATCCATCTCCTATTTGGTATCTTGATGGCTAGTGCTTTGGTTCAGGGTCCACTGATGAGTTTCCCAACTGCTCCCCAATTCCATTTTGTCTTCCCTTTGCTAATAGCACCCCCACATCACCACAGTCATCTATTTAGAAGTTAATCTGATCCATCTCCTCCCTACGTAAAAACCCTCAATGAGCTCTACTGCCTGTAGCATTAAGTCCAGAATCTTTAGCATTTTTTCTAATACTGTATCTCACCTTAACTGGCACTTTCAAAATCAACCCCAGCAAATGCTCCCATCTTTCAAGACCTTGTTACTTAGAGGTGTTTGGATCTGAGGATCAGCAAATCCTATCTGACCATGACTCAATATAGAAATGAAATGTTTTATTATTTATATACAAGCTGCTTTCTTAGCCTAAATGTTATCCTTTTTATATAAAATCTTTTACAAGAATATAATTTTTGTAAATAATTAAAAAGAGTTCCTTGAATCAATCACTATTTGGGTATAATTATTTTATTTGTGAATATCACCCTACCTCCAAGGCTACATGGTTTACAACTCATTCATTTAGCTGGTCGATCTTTCATATAACAATAATTTGTGACTCTTATTGTATGTTCTATATGTTGACAAACTACATATTAGGTTATATATTGGTTCTACACTACCAAGTAAAAATGTGCTTTTATTCTAAGTATTTCAATTAGTGAGACATTTGATACTTAAGGACAATACTATAGCATGTTATGTTAATTATTTTTATGCAATATCATACAGATTACATAATTTAATGATGATGAGAGACTGAGAAATTGAGAGACTATTTACCCCTATGAAGTCACCTTCTTCAAACTCACTTAAAATGTCAGAGTTTGAATTTTTGTTTGTGCTTGTATTGCTTGAGATGACCTTTAAATGTCCAGCAAGAATCCAATAGCACTCAAGTGGTAGGTGTCCTTGTCTTAGAACCAGACTTTCAGCTTCATACCTGGAGAGAAAGAATATCAAAAACATTTAGCATGCAAAATGGTTAGGATGAAGTCATTGGTGACAAACAAGACAAAACACAAAACCCTTTCATCTTCATCTGTAAAGAAATTTACGTTTTGTTAAGAAGCAAATATTGTCTTCCTCTGGTACAGACCTTGAAGGCAGGGATTTCAGCCACCTTATCCACTACTGTAGCACCGTGCCTAGAATGGTGCTTGGCCCAGAAAGCAGGGACTCCATCTACATAAATTGAGTGCATTTATGTATAGGCAAAAGGAGGTGCTGTAAAACCACAGAATAGAAGGTCTCCACACACATTTCTTAGATGAGTCCTGCAATTTCACAAAATATAGGCACGTTTTCTAATTGCTACTGCTGAATTCATGATGTAAGGCAAGATTTTTGGTTTTCTAGAGGATAAATTTGGCGTTGGTTTGCACACCTTTTATCAAGACTTTTTTTAAGTACTATCTTCAGCAACAGGTTTGTATATCTGCCAATTCTCCTATTCGTAGGTATTTAGCCAGAGGATGGTCATTTTCCCACCCTTGGTTTATAAAAATAACCTATCCCTGGCAGTAATGCATGCCAAACTAAAATGGGCGTTAAAAGGTCACCTTGGACATTTGATAAAAAACACAGGATTCCTTTGCACCTTGGAAATTCTGATTAGGTAGCTCTGGGGTGGAGCCCAGGAATCTGTATTCCTAAAGGGCTCTCCAGATTATTTTGATGAGGACCATGCTGTGAGAAATGCTGTGTTTGAGGCTAAGAATGAACATTATTGATATCATTTTATTTTTCTTATATGAGTATTATTTTTGTGTGAAGACTGAAACAAATCATGTTGAAATATTGAAATATTGGGAAGTCTGCATAATTTCAGATTTTCAGTTAGTAATTACACTACCCAGAATCCTTTCTTCCTAGAATAGCAATTATAATTTCTATATTCCAAATTAAGCAAAGAGAAATGTTAGTTGAGAAAGAAGATAGCACTATTATATAGCAAAGATACTACCATTCCTGTGTTATCAGTGAGAAGGGCTAAAATGTAGCACTTGACTTGCTACGAATTAACTAAATGATTCTGAGAAGGTCAGGCATGGTGGCTCACACCTGTAATCCCAGCACTTTGGGAGGCCGAGGCAGGAGGATCGCTTTAGCCCAGGAGTTCGAGACCAGTCTGGGCAACATAGTGAGACCCTGTCTCTATAACAAATACAAAAATTAGCTGTGTGGGGTGGCACATACCTGTAGTCCCAGCCACTCGGGAAACTGAGGTAGGAAGACCACTTGAGCCTAGGAGGTCGAGACTGCAGTGAGCCAAGATCACACCACTGCCCTCCAGCCTGGGTGAGAGAATGACACTCTGTCTCAAAAAGAAAGAAAATGATCTTGAGAAAAATCACTTATCCTCCACTTCCAACTCTTCACTTATAAAATGGAAAAAACCTGTATCTACATACTTCTCAAAAATGTTTTAGGAGAAAAAATACAGAATGTATAACAATGACTTGAATTCTTTACAAATAAAGTATCGGGATTTTGCCCTACTTTACTATGTTTGACGATATGAAGGAAACTTAGAAGCAGGAAAACTCCCACCAAAATAACAAGTTAGCCTGCCACAGTTCCATTAATGCTGACTGAAGGCACTAGACCCCTGAGCTAGAGACAAAGGACATTCTTAGCTGCAGCAGAACAGTAATGAGATTTACCAGCATGGTTGCATCAGTTTCTCAAGTCCCAAATCCCATAGGGCAATATGGAGGGCCCAGTAGAGCTTGCAGATACAGCGGGGTGAGTCACAGGAAAGGAATCCAAGCTTAGGGAATGTGTTTTTAAGCAAGCCTATTCTTTGTCCGGAAAAAGCCCAAGTGCAGTGTAAAAACTGCAATGCACCATCATCTCAGAATTACCAGGTACATGAGCAATCCCGAGAAGTGACCCAGGTATAACAGTCAAAGCCCTGGGATGTTGGCAAATGCAGCAAGTTGTGTAGGAGCCCAAGAGGCCCATGGTGGACTGTATCTCAGCAGACAGTGCATAACAATGAAAATGAATACAATTGTTTTAAAAGGTTATGCAGTTACTTAAAGAACTATGATTCTAGTTCCAAAGGAAAAAGATGGAGGAAATTTTACCATGCTATTTTCGCTGCCTTTGGAAAGAGGATCAAAAGATTAAAATGTGGAGACTACTGACTTCCCATTGTTTATGTTCACAGATTCCAATTTTTTGAAAACCACTACTTGAAGCCCATAGACTTGAAAAAAATTATTAAAAATTGCTGAAGTAACTGCCACATCATGTAAATATCCTCAAAATAATGGTTGGTTTCTATGAACTAAGAAGAAAAGAATAGTCCTTTGGACCACTGTGGAATCACGAGAATGAGGCCAATAAGATGTGATAGAAAAAGAAGGAGAAGAGGGCATGTAGAAAGGAAAGGTTACAGAGGGAAGAACTGATATGTGGATGATATTTTTTCCAATAGAAAAAATCCTGGTTTTGAAGACTAAGTTGGGTTTAAAGCATCACAGAAAAAGCAGGACTCCACATCCTGTTTCCTCTCTCTTGTATTGTAAAAGTATGGATGAGGGCCAGTCATTCTCAGCCAGGCTTTGAAGTGCACCATTAGGCTGCCAGATACCCATTACACTAATTGGATCACCAGCCTCATCTAGATCTCATTGGCAAAAGGATTCCAGGGCTACCCATTTCTTCTGCAGCATTAAATTGACATACAATAAACCATAAAATATTCACATGGACCTGTACTCTCCTTTTGTATTATATGGTAACCCCAGAATGATTTTCCAACAGGCTACTTGAATGATGTGAAGAAATGCCAATACTAAATATGTTTGTTGGGCTTAAAACACTTAATTTTACACTTCCAGAGGATTTGAAACATTTGCGAATGGAATCACTGTCTGCCTTGAGAATTTTTTCTCATTAAGCCTACAGACACAACTGCTCCAACCTAAGAAATACAGAAATCAGAATATGTTTAAGAATAGAAAAAGAAAGATTTAATATATTCACATTCAGAAAGAAAAATGTCTACATCAACATACATATGGCTATATATAGTCATGTGCTACATAATGACATGTCAGTCAACGATGGAGATGGTAGCTCCATACCTATTGTTGCTTCTGAAGACCCTTCAGTGGGGCAAGATGCAGAGGTGGAAGACAGTGATATTGATGATTCTGACCCCATATAGGCCTAGGCTAATGTGCATGTTTTTGTCTTCATTCTTAACAAAAGAGTTCAAAAAGTTTTTAAAAAATTAAATAGAAAAAAAGCTTATACAAAGGAACAGAAAGAAAATAAGTTTGTACAGTTGTACAAGTATTTGTATTTTAAGCTAAGCATTATTACAAAAGAGCTTAAAAGCTTAAAAATTTAAAAGTGTGTAAAGTAAAAATGTTACAGCAAGCTAAGGGTAATTTATTATTGAAGAAAGAGTCTGGCACAGTGTCTCATGCCTATCATCCCAGCTACTCAGGAGGCTGAGGTGGGAGGATTGCCAGAAGTTCTAGACCAGCCTGGGCAACACAGCAAGACCTTGTCTCAAAAAAAGAAAGAAAGAAAACAACAACAACAACAACAAAAACCCTAGCTGAGTGCGGTAGTATGTGCCTGAAGTCCTAGCAACTCAAGAGGCTGAGATGGGAAGATGCCTTGGGTCCAGGAGTTCGAGGCTGAAGCAAGCTACTGCCATTGCTCTTCAGCCTGGGCAACACCACAAGATCCCATCTCTAAAAAATATAAAGAAAGAAAAAAATTAAATAAATGTAATGTAGCCTAAGTTTAAAGTGTTTATAAAGTTTAAAACAGTGTACAGTAATGTCCTAGGCCTTCACAGTCACTCACTACTCATTCAGAGACTCACCCAGAGCAACTTCCAGTTCTGTAAGCTCATTCATAGTAAGTGCCCTATACAGGTGTGCCATTTTTAATCTTTTATACTCTATTTTTACTGTATCTTTTCTATGTTTCGATGTGTTTAGATACACAAATAATAACATTGTGTTATAATTGCCTACAGTATTCAGTACAGTAACATGCTATACAGTCTTACAGCCTGAAGCAATAGGCTACACCATATAGCCTAGGGATGTGGTAGGCTATACCATCCAGGTTTGTGTAAGTCCACTCCACGATGTTTGCACAATGATAAAATCACCTAATGACACATTTCTGAAAACATATCCCCATCGTTAAGCAACACATGACTATATGTAAATTTTATACTGAAATATAAGAAAAGCCTATGAACACTAACTACTTATAGATATATTGATTTATTTTTTGTTTTTATTCTCCATTTAAAACATTAGATTTGAATGAATATCAATGTTAATTTTTATTGAAAGAACTAATGCTTAATGAAAGTAACTCTCCACTAAAACTTTTGGATATCCACAATTTTTTAAATGAGACTTCATGTTAATGCCACACTATTAAACTTTTTCCAAAAGAGTCACATACTCAACAGATTTTATGTTAGAGATTTCTGAATTTCAGACAACAGAATTCACTCTGATTAGTTTAAGAACAAAAGGATTTACTGCAGGTAGCAGGTCACTTACAGAATCTTTGGAAAGATTTGTAAAGTGGTTTCTAGTCCAAACTTCCAGCAACAACTCTGGTGAAGATGCTGGGCAGACCTCAGAACCACAACGTCTCCACCATAGTTAGGAAGGGGGCCAGGGGCGGGGGGCACAACATCTGACCAAAGGATCGCATGATTTTTGCCAATATCTGCACCAGGAAAATTGATGCCCCATGTCCTTCCTTTTTCCCCACATATACTGATTTCAAATGAAAATATCATGAAGAGCTATCTAATTGTCAGAATCTAAATCATTATACATTAAAAAGAAAAGGTAGGCTCAGAAAGGTAGCTTTTAGTTTGTTTTCTACTTTGTTTTGTTTGTATTCTACATTGAGATGATGGTGTTTACACTGTGAAAAACTATAAAATTATTAGAATCTGTTAAAAATATTTGAGACAACCTGAAATTACAAATGTTAACTGTATTTTATTTATCATAAAATGTAAGGTCTTCACCTAACACGTTTTGCATGTTTTTTCACATTCTAGATAAATAAGTGGATTGTTATAGCAGTCTAATAACTTTTTTATTGTTTTGGTACTTTGCTTATATTGTTTGATCATTATCCTATCTTCCTTCCTTCTTCCTTCCTTCCTTCTTTCCTTCTTTCCTTCCTTCCCTCCTTCCTTCCTTCCTTTCTCTCTTTCTTTCCTTCTTTCCTTCTTCTTTCTTTCCCTCTTTTAATTTTTTTATAGGGCCTCACTCCATCACTCAGGCTGGAGTGCAGTAATGCTATCTTGGCTCACTGTAGCCTCAATCTCCCAGGCTCAAGTGATCCACCCCAGTCTCCGTAGCAGCTAGAACTACATGGACGCACCACCACACCTGAATAATTTTTGTATTTTTTGTAGGGATGGAGTTTCACCATCTTGCCTAGGCTGGTCTTGAACCCCTGCACACAAACAATCTTCCTGCCTCAGCATCCCAAATTGCTGGGATTAGAGGCATGAGCCAGTATGCCCGGTCCATCATTCTAGTTTCAATCCTACTTTCCTTCAGGCTGGTTTGAAAACTCACCATTATGTTACAGAGTTCAAAGAACAAACCCCAAATTATTACATACTTTTTGGTCAATATTTATTTGTAATGTGTCTTTTGTCTTTGAAATTTTGTTAAACTCTATTCACTACCTGCCACTGTCTTTCTTAGGGGACTGCCAAGACCTAAATGGAACATTTTCGTGTTACTTACTCTTGATAGATTGCAGTCTGGCAAAGTTGGAGTTGCACTGTACTTGGCAAACTGAAAAATGACCTATTCTTCCTCAGCCATAGTTGAATCTTCAAAAGAAAATAAAGAAAATAAAAAATAATACCTTACAGAAAGGCTAAAGGAAAATTATTATGATGCTTTGCTATTATCTCAAATTCCTTCAGTGTTTCTGAAACCAAAACAAGAATAGTTTGTATGTGTTCTCCAAGGTCTAGTCATTTTTTATGTGATAGATGCCAGGAAGTAAAATCTTCTATATAGAGATTCATGAGAATTTGATATGATCCTAATAAAGCAAAACTTCTCCTATGGAAGGGAAGGAGACATCAGATCCAGTAAGGAGCACTCTGAACTTCCGTGATGCTAGGCCACCTACCTCCATGAAGAAATTGGTAAGGAATCTTTCAGAACCTAGCTTGCCCAGAAAAACAGGATAAGCCAAGGACCAGAAAAATAAAATCTGATGGTGTTCAGGAGTCCTTCATTGGAAGACATTAGAGGTGAGATTTAAACATGCCTTTTTTTCCTCTTCCAAAGTATTAGGTTTTGAAATATATTAACATTGCATCTGCCTATTTTTAAGAAGGAACAGTCTTAAAGGAGTTATTTAAGCAGAAACAAAGGATGACAATTACTTTCATGAATACATATGAAAGTATAACACTCACTGGTAGAGGTTAATACATAGTCAAATCCAGAATACTGTAATGGTGGTATGTAAATCATACACATCTCTAGTATGAAGGTTAAAAGTAAATATGATTAAATAATAACTAAAGTAGCCAGGCATGGTGGCTCACACCTATAATCCTAGCACTTTGGTAGGCTAAGGCAGGCAAATTGCCTGAGCTCAGAAGTTTGAGACCAGCCTGGCCAACATGGTGAAACCCCGTCTCTGCTAAAAACTACAAAAATTAGCTGGGCATGGTGGCAGATGCCTGTAGTCCTGGCTACTTGGGAGACTGAGGCACAAGAATCACTTGAACATGAGAGGCAGAGGTTGCAGTCAGCTGAGATCATGCCACTGCACTCCAGCCTGGGTGACAGAGCGAGACTCTGTCTCCAAAAAAAATAAAAATTAAAATTAAAACTGGTTGTTAAAATTAACAACTGAATAATAAGTTGTTAAGAAATATACAGTTTAAAAAGATGATATAAATTGTGGCATCAAAAACACAAAATTGCAGGGGGAAGGGTAAAAAAGTCTAGATTTCTTTTTTTTTAGACGGAGTCTCGCTCTGTCGCCCAGGCTGGAGTGCGGTGGTGCAATCTTGGCTCACTGCAAGCTCCGCCTCCCGGGTTCATGCAATTCTCCTGCCTCAGCCTCCCGAGTAGCTGGGATTACAGGCGCCCGCCATCACGCCCGGCTAATTTTTTGTATTTTTAGTAGAGACGGGGTTTCACCGTGTTAGCCAGGATGATCTCGATCTCCTGACCTTGTGATCCGCCCGCCTCGGCCTCCCAAAGTGCTGGGATTACAGGCGTGAGCCACAGCGCCCGGCCAAAAAGTCTAGATTTTTTGTATGTGACAGAAGTTAAGTTGTTATCAGCTTAAAATAGTAGACTATAACTTTAAAAGGTTTTATGGAAGCCTCATGGAAACCACAAAACAAAAATCTACGGTACATATTCAAATGCTAAAGATAAAGGAGCCAAAGTTTAGCATTAAAGAAAAATCATCAAATCACAAAGATGGACAACAAGAAAGGAAGAAAGAAACAAAGGAGCTACTAAACAACCAGAACATAAATAACAAAATAGCAGTAGTAAGTCCTTACCAGTAAATAATACTCTTGAATGTAAATAGATTAAATTCTCTAATCAAAAGATAGAGTGCCTGACGAGATTTAAAAAAAAAAAAAAGCAAGAACCAACTGTATGCTCCCTGCAAAAGACCCACCTAAACTTTAAGGACATGCATAGGTGAAAGTGAAAGGATAGAGGATGATATTCTATGCAAATAGTAACCCAAAGACAGCAGTGGTAGCTATACTTGTATCTGATAAAATAGACTTCAAGTCAAACACTGTCGCAAGAGACAATGAAGGTCATTATTTAACGATAAAGGGGTCAATTCATCAAGAGGACACAACCATTGTAAATATATATGTATTCAACATTGGAGCACCTAAATACATAAATCAAATATTAATGGACCTGAAGAGAGAAATAGATAGCAATACAATAATAGTCAGAGACTTCAATACTCTACTTTCAACAATTGATAGATCAACCAGACAGCAAATTAAAATGGAGATACTGGACTTAAATGAACAGTTTTGACCAAATGGACCTAATAGACATACACATAATATTCCATCCAACAGCAGCAAAATACACATTCTTCTGTAGGGCACATGGAACATTACACAGGATAGACTATAAGTTAGGCTACAAAACAAGTCTTAACAAATTATTGCAATGGTATCTAGTATCATTTCAGACCACAAGGGTATCAAACTAAAAGTCAATAACAGGAGGAATCTTAGAAAAGTTACAAACACATGGAAATTAAGCAACATACTCCTGAAAAACAAATGGGTCAAAGAAGGAATCAAAAGGAAAATGTAAAAATAGGTTGAGACGAATGACAATGGAAACACAATATACCAAGACCCATGGGATGCATCAAAGTCAGTTCTAAAAGGAAAGTTTATACTAGTAAATGCCTACATTAAAAAAGAAGAAATCTCTCCAATAAATAGTTTAATATTATGCCTCAAGGAATAAGAAGAAGAGAAATAAACTAAACATAAAGTTAGCATGAGGAAAGAAATAATACCAATCAGAACAGAAATAAATCAAATACAGAACAGAAAAACTGTAGAAAGAACTGATAAAACTAAGAGTTGGTTTCTTGAAAAAATAAAATTGGCAAAACCTTGGCTAGTCTATCTAAGGAAAAAAAAGAGAATATTCAAATAAATTAAATCAAAAATTAAAGTGAAGAAATAACAACAGATACCTCCATGGTAAAAATGATTATAAGGAACTATTATGAACATTTTTATGCCAACAAATTAGACAATCTAGAGGAAATGGAAAAAATCCTAGAAAAATATAACCTACCAAGGTTGAAATAGAAAGCCTGGACAGACCAATAACAAATAATTAGATTGACAGAGTAATTTTAAAACCTCCCTCAAAAGAAAAGCCCAGGACCAGATGGCTTCACAGATGAATTCTTCCAAAAATTCAGAGTTAATATCAATACTTCCTAAGCTCTTTTGAAGAACAATGCTAGAGGAAATACTTTCAAATACATTTTATGAGACCAGCATCACCCCAATACCTAAGCCAGACAAATACATCATCGTAAGAAAAGAAAACTACAGGCCAATATCTCTGATTAACAATGATGTAAAAATCCTCAATAAAATATTAGTAAACCAAAACTAACAAACATCAAAAAGATTATACATCATAATCAAGTAGGATTTATCCCCGACATGCAAGACTGGTTTAACATATGCAAACCAATAAATGTGATACATCACGTTAACAGAATAAAAGATAACCAATGATCATCTCAAATGACTCAGAAAAACTCCAACATCCTTTCTTGATAAAAACTCTCAAAAGTTTAGGTATAAAAGGAAAGTTTCTCAATGTAATAATGGCCATTTTTTAAAAACCCACAGCTAACATTAAAATCAATGAGGGAGAACTAAAAGCTTTTTCACTAAGATCCAGTACAAGGCAAGGATGGCCACTCTTGCCACTTCTATTCAACATAGTGCTGGAAGTACTAGCAAGAGCAATTAGACAAAGAAAAAGAAAAAAAAGTGAAATGAAAGGTATCCAAACCAGAAAGGAAGAAGTCAAATTATCTCCATCTGCAGATGATATGATTCTATTTGTTTAAGAAGCCCACCAAAAAATTGTTACAATTAATAAATGAATTCAGTAAAGTTGCAGGACACAAAATCAACATGCAAAAATCAGTAACATTTTTATACACAAATAACAACATAAATGAAAAAGAAATCAAGAAAGTTATCCAATTTATGATAGCGTTAAAAAATTAAAACACTTAGGAATAAATTTAACCAATAGGTGAAAGATCTGTACACTGAAAACTATAAAACACTGATGAAAGAAACTGACGAAAACACAAATAAATGGAAAGATATCTTGTGCTCATGGACTGGAAGAATTACTATTGTTTAAATGTCTGTATTACCCAAAGCAATATACAGATTTAATGCAGTGCCTATCAAAATCCCAATGACATTCTTCACGGAAATTTTTTTAAAAATCCTAAAATTTTTACTGAACCATAAAAGACCCCAAATAGCTGAAACAATTTTGAGAAAGAAAAACAAAGTTGGAGGCATGACACTTCTGCTTTATAATTATATTACAAAGTTATAGTAATTAAAACCGTATGGTACTGGCATAAAAACAGACACATAGACCAGTGGAATACAATAGAGAGCCCAGAAAAAAATCCAAACATATATATGGTCAACTAAATTTTGACAAGCACACTAGGAGGACACAATAATAAAAGATTGGTCTTGTCAACGAATAGTGCTTGGAAATTTGTATTTCCACATGCAAAATAATGAAACTGGACTCTAATACTATACACAAAAATCAACTCAAAATGGATAAAAGACCTGTATATAAGATCAGAAATCATAAGACTTCTAGAAGAGAACATAGAGGAAAGCCTCCTGGACATTGGCCTTTGCAATTATTTTTTGGATATCACACCAAAAGCTCGGGCCACAAAAACAAAAATAAATTAATGTGATTACATCAAACTAAAAAGCTTCTGCACAGCAAAGGAAACAATCCACAAAATGAAACAGGAGCTTATAAATTAGGAAAAAGTATTTGTAAACCGTATATCTGGTAGGGGTTACTATCCAAAATTTAAAGAACTCATACAACTCAATAGTGAAAAAACAAATAACCTGATTTTTTAAATGGGCAAAAGTTCTCATTTCTCCAAAGAAGACATAAATATGGCCAACAGGTATATGAAAATGTGCTCAACATTATTAATCATCAGGGAAATACAAATCAAAACCACTATGAGATACCAACTCACACATGGCTATTATCAACAAGTCAAAAGACAGCAAATGTTGGTGAGGGTGTGGAGAAAAGGAAACTCTTGTACATTGTTGGTGGGGATGTAGACTGGTACAGCCATTGTGGAAAACAGTGTGGAAGCACCTAAAGAAATTTAAAATAGAACTACTATATGACCCAGCAATCCCTCTTCTGAGTCTATACCTAAAGAAAGTGAAATCACCACCCTCTAAAGATATCTGCAATCTCATGTTCATTGTAGCATTATTCACAGTAGCCAAGATATGGAAACAATCTAAGTATCCACTGATGAATGAATAGATAAAGGAACTGTGATATGATATGATATGATATGATACGATATGATATGATATGACATGTTCATTGTAGCATTATCCACAATAGCCAAGATATGGAAACAACTTAAATGTCACTTGACAGACGAATGGATAAAGAAACTGTGGTGTGTGAGTGTGTGCGTGTGTGTGTGTGTGTGTGTGTGTGTAATGGAATATTATTCAGCTCTAAAAAATAATGAAATCTTGCCATTTGCCACAACATGGATGAGCCTGGAGGACATTATGCTAAGTAAAATAAGCCAGACACAGAAAGAAAAATATTGCATGATCTCATTTATATGTAGAATCCTAAAAATATCAAAAATACAGAGACATAGAATAAAACAGTGGTTACTAGGGGTATGGGGATCCAGGGGAGGAAATGGGGAGATGTAGGTCAGAGGACACAAAGTAGGAGGTGTGTAGGATGAACTAATCTAGAGCTCTAATGTACAGCATGAAAACTATAGTTAATAAAATTGTACTATGTATGGGTTTCATGCTAAACGAGTAGGTTTTAGCTGCTCTTGCTACTAAAACAAAAAAGAATAGGTAACTATGAGAGATGATGAATATGTTAATTTGCTTCACTATAGTAACTTTTTTTTTTTTTTTTGAGACAGGGTTTCACTCTGTCATCTAGGCTGGAGTGCAGTGGAGTGACACTGTAGCCTTGGACTTCTGAGTTCAAGTGATCCTCCCACCTCAGCCTCCTGAGTAGCTGGGACTACAGGTGTGTGCCATCACACCCAGCTAATTTTGGCTTTTTTTTTTTACAGATGGGGCTTCACTATGTTACCTAGGCTAGTCTCTAATTCCTGGCCTCAAGCGATCTTCCTGCCTCGGCCTCCCATAGTGCTGGTATTACAGGCGTGAGCTGCCAAGCCTGGCCTATCGTAACCTTTTTACTATATATGGACCTTATAACATCATGTGGTATACCTTAAATATACACAATAAATTTTATTTTAAAAAATAGACAAAAGATTAACTCAGAGTGGATCGATGATCTAAATAGAAGAGTTAAAACCATTAAAGCAGAAAACAAGTCTTTATGATCTTGGATTTTATAACAGATTCTTAGCTATGACACCAAGAGCACAAACATTAAAAGAAAAAATAAACTGAACTTCATCAAACTACTTTTTGCATCAAAGGACTTCCTCAAGAAGGTGAAAAGACAACAAAATGGGAGAAAATATTTGCAAATCATATATCTGATCATATCCAGAATATGTAAGGAACACTTACAATTTAATAACAATAAGGCAAACAACCCAATTTAAAACTGGGCAAAGAACTTGAATAGATATTTCTCCAAAGATATACAAATGGTCAATAGGTATTAGAACAATTGCTCAACATCATTAATCATTTAAGAAATGCAAATCAAAATCACAATGAGATACCACTTCACACCTGCTACAATGGCCATAATAAAAAGAAAAGAAAAATAACAAGTGTTAGCAAGAATGTGGAGAAATTGGAATCTGTGGGCATTGCTGGTGGGAATGTAATATGGTGTAGCTGCTGTGGAAAACAGTTTGGCAGTAACTCAAAAAAGTAATTGATTATTTGACTCATCAATTCCACTCCTAAGTATATACCCAAAAGAACTAAAAACACTTACTCAAACAGACATTTGTACACCAATGTTCCCTGCAGCATTATTCACCATAGCCAAAAGGTGGAAACAATCCAAATGTCCATCAACAGATAAATGGATAAACAAAATTTACTATGCATATACTGTGGAATATTATGCAGGCATTAAAAAGAATGAAGTTATACATGCTACAACATGGATGAACCCTGAAAACATCATGCTAAGTTAAATAAGCCAGCCACAAAAGAAAAGCTATTGTAAGATTCCCCTTATATATCTAGAATAGGCAAATTCATAGAGACAGAAAGTCAATTAGAATCTATCAGGGGTTGGGGGAAGTGGGTAATGGAGAGTTATTACTTAATGGTCACAGAATTTCTGCATGGGGTGACAGAAAAGATTTGGAAACAAATAGTGGTGATTGCTGCACAATGGTGTTGTATGTGTAATTAATCCCACTGAATTGTAAACTTAAAATGGTTGGAATGGCATATTTACATTATACATATTTTACCACAATAAAAAAATCTTAAGATATGCTCATAACAGGTAGAAGCTATTACTTAAAGTTTTAAGTACCCTAAAATTTCAAGTGTTTTTAAATCTAGTAGCCATTGCAGAAAATTGTTGCCTAGCAGGTCAGAAAATGAGGTCAGCACTACAAAGGAATTTGGGGGACAATGAAACAGTTCTGTACATAACCATTATGGTGAATACATGACTGTGTATTTGTCAAGACCTGTAGAACTAGAGTTGAACAAACAAAGAAATTATAGATAATGACAGCTAGGTTTGTATCTGTGGGAGAAATAAATTACAAACAGGCTAAAGGAGGATTCTAGAACAATCCCTGTGCTAATGGACTAGAGTTAGAGATATCATTACGAACTAATGTTTATTTAATATGTATACAGATGGATATACAGAAATAAATATAAACATATGGATTTGTATACACACAATCATTCGCTAGCTCTAAAAGCTGAGAGGGGCTATAAGCAATGACCATCTAGAGGCAATGGGGAATCCTAGGCGCCAGATTTTGGGTTCTAAATGCCATTCTCCGATAAAAGGAACCATGTTTCTTAAAGAAACGGGTGATTCTTGGGCTGGAACATGGGAAATAGAAGAGGTTCATCTTTCAACGACAGAGGTAAGTTAGTGCTGAAAAGAAACATGCAAAAAGATGAGACAGCTCCTAATAATTTGAGCAATACAATAAACAAGAACAGTAATGAATCGTAACCCAAAAAGTAAAATAACTATCCATAAATCAATAAATATCCATGAGTCTATATACAACAGAAAGAAGGAAAGAGGAGGAGGGAGGGAGAGAGGAAGGGAAGGAGAGGAAGAAAAGAAGATAGGGAGGGAAGAGAGAGGAAAGAAGGAAGGAAGGAAGGAAGGAAGGAAGGAAGGAAGGAAGCAAAGAAGGGAGGGAGGGAGGGAGGAAGGGATTTTCCCTAACAGAATAATTCCAATTAATACATGGAGAAGAAATGTGGAAAATAGAATGTCACCGTTAGGGTGCCACAGTTATAACTGCAGCAGGCAAGACCCACTGACAAATGCTAAAATTAGTGAGCAAAACTTTAAAGAGGATCAGGGCATTCACATTGCTTCAAAATATCTGCCATCAAATATTTATTAATAACTGTGGTAGTTTTAACACGTCCACAAATCCTTAAACACTCTCCCTCCAGGAAGTGAAGCTTAATACCCCTGGATTGGACATAACTCCAGGGTCTAGACTTCGTAACTCACTTCCAAAGGACAAAGTATGGAAAGGGGAAATGGCAGGCAGTACCTTAACCAAGTGATCAAGCCCAACATCACTAGTAATAACACATAGTGACATTCAGCACCCAAAGTCCATAACCTCAGTCTAATCATGAGAAAACATCAGACAAAACCAAACTGAAAGACGCTCTACAAAATATCCAACCACTGCTCTTCTAAAGTGTCAAGGTCATGAATGACAAAGAAAAACTGAGGAACTGTCATAGATTGAAGGAGATTAAGGAGGCATGACAACTAAAGGCCGTGCAGTATCCTAACCTGAATCCTGGAACAGGAGAAAGACATGAGTGGAAATACTGGGGAAATCTAAATAGTCTGTAATTTAGTCAATTTGTTGAGCTCATCTTAATTTCTTAATTTTGATTATTGTACCATGGCTATGTGAGATATTAACATTATGGGAAGCCAGGTAAAAGGTATATGGGGACTGTCTGTACTATCTTTGCAAGTCTTCTGTAAGCCTAAAATTATCAAAATAAAGAGTTTAAAATTTGTTTAGCCTCAGCTGAATACAAGGGTTATACTCAGCAACTTGGAGTGGAAGGGTTTCAAACCCTGGTGACTGAAGTTGAAAATTAAAACAACTCAGCAGTAACCACTTACTCCTTATTACCACTCACCAGGGTAATTTGTGTTCAAGTTTCCCAAACTAAAGTCTACCAGGAAATTGGCTAGGGGAGTGTTCTCGGTTGTTGCTCTGCCAGCTGGCCCTATTTCAATCCACCCAGCTGCAGGCCCTGCAGTGGACTAGGGAGATTCAGCTTCCAGTTCAACCCCTTTCTCCTGCTATCCCTGCATCATGGATGTAGTTTAGCCCTGGTGGGTAATTTGGATGTTTGGGATGGCTAAGCTGAAACAAAACAGATGGACAGATGGAAATTGGTGATAATTGGTACTTTGTAGAAAGGTGAGAAAAGCATAAAGAATGTACAGTTGATCCCTAAACAACACGAGTTTGAATGGTGTGGGTACACTTACACATGGATTTTCTTCTGCCTCAGCCACTCCTGAGACAACAAGACCAACCCCTCCTCATCCCCTCCTCCTCAGCCTACTCAACGTGATGACAACAAGGATGAAGACCTTTATGATGATCCACTTCCACTCGATGAATGGTAAACATATTTTCTCTTCCTTATGATTTTCTCAATAACATTTTCTTTTCTCTAGCTTACTCTGTGGTAAGAATACACTGTAACATATGCGTAAGAATACACATTACATACAACATACATGTACATATAAGAGCACATATAACATACAAAATATGTGCTAATCAACTATGTTATTGGTAAGGTTTACGGTCGACAGTAGGCTATTAGTAGTTTTGGGGGAGTCAAAAGTTGTATGTGGATTTTCAACTGCACAGGGAGTTGACACCCCTAACCCCTACATTGTTAAAGGGTCAACTGCAGTAATGTTCAGCTCTGTCCTTTCTTCTTTTTTTTTTTAATTTTTTATTTTTTGAGACAGAGTCTCGCTCTGTCGCCCAGGCTGGAGTGCAGTGGCGCTATCTCGGCTCACTGCAAGCTCCACCTCCCGGGTTCATGCCATTCTCCTGCCTCAGCCTCCCGAGTAGCTGGGACTACAGGCACCCACCACCATGCCCGGCTAATTTTTTTTATTTAGTAGAGATGAGATTGCACCGTATTAGCCAGGATTGTCTCGATCTCCTGACCTCTTCTTACTGAAAATGCATGCGGCATTGATGTAAGCATCTACCTTAAGGACAATGCAGAGGAAACCCTCTGGCTGACAGAAATTTTATTCCCTGAACTGACAACTACTCTCACCTGATTAAATACAAACTTTCCATCCCTACCAGTATCTTTTTGACAACATCCAGAACAGGGATTTCCAACCTATCACCTCTGGAGCTCCTTGAAGAAGTAAAAGGGGATTGGGATTAAGTGGGATTTTGAATTTTGAATATTTCCAAATGTCTAATGAGATCATTTATTTACCTGTGATAAAACCACCCAGAATAATATGTAAATTGTATTTGCTTCAGCTGGAATCACATCCACTCAGTATGGAAATATGGGTTATTTTTATTGTATTTTTATTTATAAAAAATAACTGATTAAAAGTGCTGATAGGAAGATATGTCTTAAATTTTCAAAAGAGGGAGATAAATGGACTATTAATGAATGACTTTTGTTCAGGAGGCAAAAACCTTTGAAAACATAGGGTTCATGGGGCAGCAATGATTAGGAACTAGTGCACTACTGTGTAAGACAGATACCCTGCCCTTGGCTCTTGACTGTGAAAGTCCCCACTCCTACCCCATCATCAGCATCCTCACCCCCAGCACTTCTTCCTACCCTGGAAAGCCTTTTCTGGTGATCTTTTCCTGTAAATTAGAAGTGCTTGGTAATTTAATGTCATCTTAATTGATTTATGCATATACAAGAAAGCTATCAACCTCAAAACATGCACATAATTCATAAAGACTTGAGTAAATATAGTGTCTATTTTTACATCTTCAGGATTACAATTTGTTATTTAAAATAGATTCTCTAAGAAAGATGAACTGAATTTAAATCATGTTTATT
The DNA here is from genome assembly GCF_000001405.40 of Homo sapiens. Lineage (NCBI taxonomy): Eukaryota > Metazoa > Chordata > Mammalia > Primates > Hominidae > Homo > Homo sapiens. The sequence continues at coordinate 110,086 of NT_187541.1, forward strand.
TATACTCCTTTTTCCAAGTTGCAAATTCACTGTTAAATTGAAGTCTGCCTATGCCCACACACGAATTTCAGCTCATAGTAACAAGAATTTATATGGCTTTGATATTTACTAGTGTTAGATCCCTCTGGGCTAAAAGGATGTCAGTGAATTCAAGGTAATGTCATAAGCACAGAAAACACTGACTTTTAGAAATGTCTGGTGCCAAAAGATGATGAAAATACTTGTAATACAGCACTTTATTCTTAGGATATTCTGAAATGCTTTATATCTTAAGATGTTTAAAAATCAATACTGCTTTTTACTTTATAGCTGGTTTACAAAACGTAGTACACATCCTTTAGAAGCTAAAAAACAACAACTGTAAATCCAATTTACCCAAGCATATAAAAATTTTCACAGAAGCAGAAAAGGTTCACCTAATATTTTAGGGACAGAAATCTATATCTATGTAATGGATCACTGAAGTCTGCTAGTGAAATGTACTAGTTCCTAATCATTGCTGCCCCATGAACGCTGTGTTTTCAAAGGCATTTGCCCCCTGAACAAAAGTCATTCATTAATAGTTCATTTATCTCTCTCTTTTTAAAATTAAAGACATATCTTCCTATTAATCAGTACTTTTGATCAGTTGTTAAATACATTAATTTATATTCAAAATTAATTATCTATCTCAAACACATTCCACAAAAAAATACACATATTAGGAACTCAAGGATCAAGATTTCTTTAATCAGTGTACAAAATACATGAAAGGAAAGAACTGCTTCATTAGACCAAAGAAAATAGAAATACCCCAACCACCTTTATTTAATGCCATTTTGTTTTCTAAAACACTAAAACTAAAGGAAGGATTAAGAGAGTAGAAATGTAAGAAAAATAATTTGACATGATGTTTTTTATAGTGTGATATGGTTTGTCTCTGTTTCCTGACCCAAATCTCATCTTGAATTGTAATCCCCCCATGTCAAGGGAGGGAGGTGATTGGATCATGGGGGCAGTTCCCCCATGCTGTTCTCGTGAGAGGAGTGAGTTCTCAAGAGATCTGACGGTTGTATAAGTGTTTGGCATTTCCCCTGCTTGCACGTCTCTCACCTGCCACCTTGTAAAGAAGGTGCCTGCTTCCCCTACACCTTCTGCCATGATTATAAGTTCCTGAGGCCTCCCTAGCCATGCAGAACTGTGAGTCAATTAAACTCTTTCCTTTATAAATTACCCGGTCTCAGGTATTTCTTTTTAGCAGTGTGAAAATGCACTAATACATAGTGCTAGCCTGTATTTGCTTAAAATAATAAAATAAAAGCATAATTGGATAGTATTGGAATAATCATATATCAGAAAAACATCTTTTTTTTTTAACCTCTCTGAGATTTTCTTGGCTTCTTAGATTAGGTTGAATGAACAACAATGTCTTCAGCTTTTCAAAATCTTTGCTCTATAAAACAAAGTGTATTTACATTGAATGCATCTCACTTGTCCCATGGACACAACTTCTTCTAAAAACTTGGAAAGGATTTATTGCCTGTGGAACATGAGGTGTTATGTTTAATTTTGCACATACATTTTGTTGAAATGACTTTAGGAAACAGATTTACTTAAAACAATTGAAGCACCAAGCACGGAATTCACTGGTCATGTTATAGATAGACAAGTTTAATTATAACTAAGACAATAGGCCCATTATAATAAATTGAGAGTTGTTTGCATAATGAAATGCTATTTCTTGAGTTATGATTATGATTTACCCTATGAATATAGCTTAATTTCAGATCAACTAAGTCAAATAGGGTTCACATTCACCAAACAGATTTCATGTACCTATAAAAAAGGGTCAATAGTAGTCATTTTCTTTTTATCTAGG